>NW_025791778.1:0-300000 GCF_000001405.40 Homo sapiens
AAACTGATGAGAAACTTGATGAATGTAAGAAATGTAGGAAAATATATAAAGTTAATTCTGCCTTACTACATATTAGAGAATTCATACTGGTAAGAATCTTTATGGATATAAGAAGTACAATAAAGCCTTTACAGATATATATATCAGATATATATATCAGAATATATGTATATATAGATATGTTCTGGATATATGTTCTGGATGCATTTCCCACATTTCTTTCTGTTATTAATTTCCAGTTTTCATTGTGATTGTTTATTCTTTTATGAGTTCAATGCTTTTACATTTGTTGAGGCTTGCTTTATGGCCTAGCATATAGTCAAACGTGGAAACTGTGCCATATGTAAGTGAGTAGAATGTGTATTCTGCTGTTGTTGGATGGAGTTCTCTATAGATATCTGTTAGGTGTAACTTGCATATACTATTGTTGAAGTCTCTGATTTCATTGCTGATCATTGCATAGTTGCTGTTTTCAGTATTGACAATGGAATGTTGAAGTCTCCAACTATTATCGTTCAGTTATCTAGTTCTCCCCTCAATTCTTTCAGCTTTTGGTTCATGTATTTTGGGGCTCTGATGTTTCAGTGGAGATATATATATATATATATATATAAATTTCATAATTTCAAGATGGGCTGACCATTTTATCAATATAAAATATCAATATTTATTCTAATGACATTTTTATTTTCAACTATATTGTGTCTAAGTATAGCCACCCTTGCTTTTGTATGATTCCAGTTTTCATAATTTATCTTTTGCCAACCCTTTACTTTTAATTCACTTCTCTCTTTGAGTCTAAAATGTGTCTCCTGTACATGGCAAATAGTAGGTTTGTATTTTTTAAAATTTATTCTGCCAAACTTTGCCTTTTGAATGGAGAGTTTAACTGATTTATATTTAGAGTAATTATTGATGAGAAAGGACTTACTCTCATCATTTCATTATTTGTTTTACATATGTCATATCTTTGTCTTAATTTACTACAGTACTACCTTCATTTGTGTTTAGTTGATTCTTTAAAGTCATATACTTTGATTATCTTCTCATTTCCTTTTGTTTATATCCTATAGATACTATCTTTGTGATCACCATGGCGATTACACATGACATCCTAAAGTTATAACAATCTGGCCAGGCATGGTGGATCATGCCTGTAATCCTAGCACTTTGGGAGACTGAGGTGGGTAGATTACTTGAGGTCAGGAGTTCAAGACCAGCTTGGCCAATATGGCAAAACCCTGTCTCTACTAAAAATACAAAAATTACCTGGGCCTGGTGACACATACCTGTAATGGCAGCTACTGGGGAGGCTGAGGCATAAGAATCACTCAAGCCTGAGAGGTTGAGGTTGTAGTGAATTGAGATTGCACCACTGCACTCCAGCCTGGGCAACAGAGTGAGACCTTGTCTAAAAAAAAGTTATAAAAATCTAATTTGGGTTGATACAAACTTAACTTCAATCACAAATAAAAACTCTGCTTCTCTACTGCTCCATTTCTCACTTTGTGTAATAGTTGTTACACATTGCATCTTTAGGCACTGTATGCCAAATAACATAGTTTTATAATATTTTTATGCATTTGTCTTTTAAATTCTGTAGACAGCAAAAAGTAGAGTTACTGTATTAGTTCATTCACACACTGCCATGAAGAATTACCCGAGACTGGGTAATTTATGAAGAAAAGAGGTTTAATTGACTCACAGTTCTGCAGGCTGTACAGGAAGTATGGTTGGGGAGGCCTTATGAAATTTATAATCATGGCATAAGGGTGAAGGAGAGGCAAACACATCTTCACATGGTGGCAGGAGAAAGAGAGCAAAGGGGGACACTTTCAAACAACCAGATCTCATGAGAACTCACTCATTTTCGTGAGAACAGCAAGGGGGAAATTTGCCTTCATGATTTAATCACCCCCCACCAGATCCCTCCCCCAACTTCGAGAATTACAATTCATCATGAGATTTGGGTGGGAACATGGAGCCAAACTATACCACTTAGAAACCAAAATTACCACAATATTGGCTTTTGCATATGCCCATATATTTACCTTAACTGGTGATTTGTATATCTCCATTCAGATTTGAGTTACTGTCTAGCATTTTTTCATTTCAAACTGAAGGATTCCCCATTAGAATTTCTTGTAGAGAAGTTTAGTGACGATGAACTCATCTTTCATTTATCTGGGAATATCTTTTTTTTTTTTGAGACGGAGTCTTGCTCTTTCACCCCAGGCTGGAGTGCAGTGGTGCGATCTTGGCTCACTGCAACCTCCACTCCTGGGTTCACGCCATTCTCCTGCCTCAGCCTCCCGAGTAGCTGGGACTACAGGCACCTGCCACCATGCCTGGCTAATTTTTTTTTTTTGTATTTTTAGTAGAGATGGGGTTTCACTTTGTTAGCCAGGATGTTCTCGATCTCCTGACCTCATGATCTGCCCTCCTCAGCCTCCCAAAGTGCTGGGATTACAGGCGTGAGCCACCACGCCTGGCCCTATCTGGGAATATCTTAATTTTTTCCTCATATTTGAATGACAGTTTTGGTGGATATGAAATTATTGATATACAGTTTTTTTCTTTCAATGCGTTAAATTTATAATTCCATTGCTTTTTGGTCTGCAAGGTTTCTGATGAGAAGTTGGTTGATAATTTTATTGAGCATTTCCTATACATATTGAGTTGCTTTTCTCTTGCTTTCAAGATTCTATCTTTGTCTTTGGATTTTCATAGTTTGATTATAATGTGTCTTAGTGTGGGTTTCTTTGCGGTTTCCCACTCGGACTTTGTTGAGCTTCTTGAATTTGTAGATTGATGTCTGTCATTAAATGTGGAAAGTTTTCAAACACTATTGTTTAAAAATATTCATTTCAACCATTTTTATCTCTGTCTCTCTTTCTCTCTTCTCCTTATGGGACTCTCATATGTATATATTTGTATGCTTGATGATATCCCACAAGTCCTTTAGGCTCTCCTCACTTTTCTTTATTCGTTTTTCCTTCGTGCTTTTCCAATGATAATGTCAATTATCTTATTTTCAAGTTGCTGATTATTTATTCTGTCTAATTAATTCACTTTTTTCAGAGATGAGGTCTCATCTCACTGTGTTGGCTAGGCTGGTCTTGAACTCCTGGGCTCAAGCAATCCTCCCACCTCGGCATCCCAAAGTACTAGGACTACAGGCATGAGCCACTATACTCAGCTTCTTCTGTCTACTTAAATCTGTGGGTTGAACCCCTCTAGTGAACTTTTCATTTAGTGATTGTATTTTTCAGCTTCAGAATTTGTTGGGTTTCTTTTCATAATTTTTATATCTTTGTCAATGTTCTCATTTGGTTCATATGTTATCTCTTGATTTTTTTTACTTCTTTGTTCATATTTTTTCTTAGCTATTTGAGCATATTTAAGACAATTATTTTAAATTCTTTGCCCATTAAGTCCAAGGTCAGGGAAATCTTAGGGATGATTACTGTCCATGTATTATGTTTCTCTGAATAAGACATGTTTTCCTGTTTCTTTGTATGATGTGATTTTTTCTTGAAAATTAGACATTTTGATATTTTGTGAAAACTTTGAAAATAAGATTATCTCACTTTCCCAGAGTTTAATGTTTTAAATTGTTGAAGGCTGTAGTAGTTCTTTCTTTTGAGACTTTTCCAAGCATGTTTTGCAAAGACTATTCCTTGTCAAATGTGATCACTGAAGTTTCTGATCCTCTAGCTTGTGTTCGTCTAGTTATTTGATGGATTCCCTTGAGTGTCATGAACCTAAACAAACAAATCAAAATCAGAGAAAGAGAGAAGCCATTTCTCCCAGTCTTTTCAGATTGCCTGTGTACTGGAGCACTTCTTCACCATACATAGGCTTGTTGTAAGCTTAGGGATTATCTCAAGGTGGAAATTTTTCTAAGCATATGTCTTGCCTGGACATGCACATGGCTTTTTAAATTTCCTTATACATGTGGCTGAATTTGAATGTCTTAATTTCCCACAGAGTGTCACCCCAGCTTATCTTCCAGGTCTTAGATGATATATTACATGTCCCCAAGCATAATATCTTCCTCCAGATGTCTGTGGGTTTGTAGTCACCTTGTAGCTTTTAGGAGCAGTGCCTGTGTCTTAGTCTGTTTAGTAATGCTGTAACAGTCTAGTGGGACCACATAGTTTATAAAGAAATGATTAGTCTCATGGTTCTGGTGACTGGAAAGTTCAAGATTGCATATTTCCATCTGAGGGTCTCAGGCTGCCACATATCATGGTGGAATGTGGAAGGTTAGGCAGTGTGCAAAGAGATCAAATGATAAGAGAGGAGGCAGATGTTTATGTGTGCATGCCAGGTTCTTTTTAACTACCAGCTCTCGTAGGAACTATTTAGAGCATAAACTCACTAACCCAGCAGGGAAGGTATTAATCTATTCATGAGGTATCCACCTTCATGAACCAAATGCTTCCCACTAGGTCCTACCTCCTAACATTGCCACAATGGGGATCAAATTTCAACATGAAGCCTGGAGGGGACAAACATTAAAATTATAGCCACCTGCAAATTCTTTAACCTTCAAACAATCAAACACTTTGCTTCAGTCCTTCAGTTGTTTCCCTAGACAGATTAGAAGAGACAAACAAAAAAAATTGTAAATGAAGTCTGCTCTTCACCCTTTGGTTCTAGGGAAGGAACTGGGAACTGTGCTGTCACCAATTCAAGACCATGTTTGATATTGTGCCAGGAAGAAGGTCAGGCAAGGAAGAGTAAAATCATCACCAAATGTTTCTTTCTGAGACAGGGTCTTTCTCTGTTTTCCAGGCTGTTTTCATTTTTATTTTTTGGTAGAGATGGAGTCTGACTACCCAGGCTAGTCTCAAACTCCTGGCCCAAGCAAACCTCCTACCTTGGCCTCCCAAATTGCTGGGATTACAGGCATGGGCCACAGCTCCTGGCTAGATTTT
The DNA here is from genome assembly GCF_000001405.40 of Homo sapiens. Classification (NCBI taxonomy): domain Eukaryota; kingdom Metazoa; phylum Chordata; class Mammalia; order Primates; family Hominidae; genus Homo; species Homo sapiens. The sequence continues at coordinate 4,944 of NW_025791778.1, forward strand.
TTTTTTCTTACAGTCTAAATATGTTCATAGATTTTTTTTTCTTGATTGGGCGTTTACTTGGTTGTTGTAGACCTTTGACTGTTTTTTGTTTTGTTGATGTTTCTGTTGGGGGACAAAAGTTCGGAGCCTCCTTGTTCATGATTTTGCTGTCTTCGCTTCTGATTTTATAATTAAACTTGTTGATATGGTTTGGATATTTGTATCCTCCAAATCTGATGTTAAAATGTGATCTCCAATTTTGGAGGTGAGCCTAGTGGGAGGTATTTTGGTCATGGAGGTGGATCCCTCATGAATGGCTTGGTGCCCTCCCTGTGGTAATAAATGAATTCTCACTTTATTAGTTCACATGATAGCTACTTATTTACAGGAGCCTGGCACCTCTCTTGCCATGTGATATGCCTGCTCCCCTTTCACCTTCTCTCTCCCTTTTTTTTTTTTTTTTGAGACAGAGTCTCACTCTGTCGCCCAGGCTGGAGTGCAGTGGAGCGATGTCAGCTCATTGCAACCTCCACTTCCCTCGTTCAAGCAATTCTCCTGCCTCAGCCTCCAGAGTAGTGGGGACTACAGGCGCGTGCTACCACACCGGGCTAATCTTTGTATTTTTTTAAGTAGAGATGGGGTTTCACTATGTTGGCCAGGCTGGTCTCGAACTCCTGACCTCATGACCTGCCCGCCTTGGCCTCCCAAAGTGCTGGGGTTACAGGCATGAGCCACCATGCCTGGCCTCCTCCTTCACCTTCTATTATGAATAAAAGCTCCTGAGGCCTCAGGAATAAGAGGCTATCAGAAATAGATGTTGCCACCATGCTTCTTGTACAGTCTGCCAAACCATTGGCCAAATAAACCTATTTTCTTTATATAGTACTGACCTCAGGTAGTCCTTTATAGCAAAGCAAATCAGATGAACACACTTATTATTTAAGATAATTGTAGGCTCACATGCAATTATAAGAAATAATAATCCTCTGTACTCTTTACCCACTTTTCCACAATGGTAACATCTTCCAAGACTATCAATATTACATCCAAAATATTGATATTGATGCAGTTAAGATCCAGAACATTTCCATTACTACAGAGATTCCTTATATTGCCCTTTTATGCCCATACTACCTTTCACCCCTGGCCCACCTCTTTCTTAACCCTTGCAACGACTAATCTGTTTTCCACTTTTAAAATGTTGTTATTTCCAGAATGATATATAAATAAAATCATACAGTATAAAACATTTTGTGATTAGTCATTTTCACTCAGCATAATTCTCTGGAAATTCATCCAGGTTATTGAATGTATTAATATAATGGAATAGAATTCCATTACATAGATGTTCCCCTGTTTATTATTCATCTGTTGAAGGACATCTGGGATGTTTTAAGTTCAGGAATATTATGAATGAAATTTGTATTACCATTTGTGTAAAGGTTTTTGTGTGAACACAAGTTTTTACTTCTATTAAATAAATGCCAAAGAATGCAATTATTGTTCTATATGAGAGGTCCATGGGTAGTTGGTTGCTTTGTTTTGTTTTTAAAGAAACTGCCTTACTCTTTATCAGAGTGGCTATAGCAGTTTGCATTATCACCAGAATGTATGAGTAATCTAGTTTCTCTGAATTTTTTTCTAACATTTGGTGTTTTCAACATTTTATCTGAGTCATTCTGATAGGTATCTAATAATACCCAATTGTAGTTTTATTGCTCCTCCCTAATAGCTACTGGCATTGAAAATATGTTCATGTGTTTCTTTGCCTTCTTGGATATTTTCTTTGGTAAAATGTCTTTTCATATCCAGGTTCTAATTGGGCTGTTTGCTTTTTTACTGTTGAGTTTTGACTGTTCTTTTATATGTACTAGATATAAGTGTGTTGTCAGATATGTGCTTGCAAACATTTTCTCCAAAATTTTAGCTTTATCTTTTATGCTTTTAATATGTTTTTTTTAAAAGGGTAAAAGTTTAAAAATGTTTAAGAAATTCAACTTATTAGTTTTTCATTTTACAGATTATGCTTTTGATGTCAAGTCTAAGAGCCTTTTGCCTAGCCCTAGATCCTGAATATTTTCCTTTATGTTGTTTTCTAAAAATCTTAGAATGTTATGTTACTTTTAAGTTTGTGATAAATTTTGAATTAATTTTAGTATAAGATGTGAGACTTAGGCTGAAGCTTATTTTTTTTGCCCATGGATGTCCAATTGCTCCAATGCCATTTTTTGGAAGCCTATCTTTCCTTCAGTTAGTTGCATTTGCACCTTTGTCAAAATTCAGATGGGCATATTTGCATGGGTCTACTTTTGGATTATTTATTTTATCTTGTTCCATTGATTTACATGTCTATTCATCTACTTATTATTATACACAGTCTTGATTACTGTAGCTATTTAGTAAAAATCTTAAAATAGAGTACATTGATTTTTCCTACTTTTTTCTTGTTTCTCAAAATTGTTTTAATTATTCTAGTTCCTTTGGTATTCCATATAAATTTTACAGTAATCTCATCTATAGCCACAGAAAATCTTGCTGGCATTTTGGTAGAAACTGTGTAAAATTATATATCAATTCAGGAAAAATCGATGTATCTCCATGACTTTTTGAGTCTTCCAACACATGAGCACAGTGTATGTCTCTCCATTTATTTAGATTTTAAAAATCTTTCATCAGTGTTGTGTAGTTATTGTAGTTTTTAGAACACAAGTCCTGTACATGGTTTTTTTACATTTACACCTAAGTATCCTTTTTGAGTTAATGGAAATGGTATTATATTTTAAATTTTGGTATCCATTTGTTCATTGTTAGTATATGGGTATACAATTTACTTTTCTATGTTCATCTTTTTTTTAGTGACTTTGCTGAATTCATTTATTCTAGAAGTGGTTTATTTTTTGTCCATTCCTTGGGATTTTAAAGTACACAGTTGTGTCAAACATGAATAAAAACAATTTTATTTCTTTCTCGTTTGTATTCCTCTTATTTACTTTTCTTGCCTTATTGCATTGTGTAGAACTTCCAGTGCTATGTTGAATACGAGTGGTGAGAATAGATATTTTTGCTTTTTTCTTGATCTTGGGATAAAAGCATTCAGTTCTTCACAATTAAATATAAATCTGTCTATAGATTTTTTATAGATGCTTCTTACTGGGTTGAGAAAGTTCTCCTCTATTTCTATTTTTCTGAGAATTTTAAAAACCGTGAATTGATATTGAAGTTTGGTTGAATGTCTTTCTGCATTTATTGACATAATCATTATGAACATATGTCTTTTCTTCTTTAGCCCTTTAATATGGTAGATTATAATGACAGATTTTCAAATATTGAATATATGAAAAAAGCCCACTTGATCATGGTGTATAATTCTTTTTACTCATTGTAAAATTTTATTTGCTAGTATTTTAAAAATTGTTGAAATCTAAATTTATAAAAGTTATCACTCTGTGTTTTCTTTTTATTTTTGTATTGTCTTTGGTTTTGGCATCAGGGTGATACTGTCTTCATAGCATACATTGAGAAATATTCCTTCTACTTAGATGGATTACTTTCCTATGTGGGGACTTCCAAAAGTTCATGGAAAATAGAATTAAAAGATCAAAATAAAAATTATCAATTTTATTTCTCAACAAAATCTCCATCAAGTTCAAGACACTTTTAAAATTTATTTTATTTTGTTTTATTTTAAGCTCCACGATACATGTGCAGAATGTGCAGGTTTGTTATATAGGAAAATGTGTGCCATGGTGGTTTGCTGCACCTATCACCTAGGTATTAAGCCCCACATGCATTAGCTATTTTTCCTGATGCTCTTCCTCCCCCACTCCCATGACAGGCCCAGGTATGTGTTGTTCCCCTCCCTGTGCCCATGTGTTCTCATTGTTCAGCTCCCACTTATGAGTGAGAACAAGTGGTGTTTGGTTTTCTGTTCCTGTGTTAGTTTGCTGAGGATGATGGCCTCCAGCTTCATCCATGTCCCTGCAAGGGACATGACCTCAGTCTTTTTTATGGCTGCATAGTATTCCATGGTGTATATGTACTACATTTCCTTTATCCAGTCTATCATTGATGGGCATTTGGGTTGATTCCATGTCTTTGCTATTGTGAATAGTGCTGCAATAAACATACGTGTGCTTGTATCCTTATAATAGAATGATTTACATTCCTTTGAGTATATACTCAGTAATGGGATTGCTGGGTCAAATGGTATTTCTGGTTCTAGATCTTTGAGGAATTGCCACACTGTTTTCCAAAATGGTTGAATTAATTTACATTCTCACCAACAACATAAAAACATTCCTATTTCTCCACAACCTCACCAGCATCTATTGTTTCTTGACTTTTTAATAATCACCATTCTGACTGGTGTGAGATGGTATATCACTGTGGTTTTGATTTGCATTTCTCTAGTGATCAGTGATGTTGAGCTTTTTTTCACATGTTTGTTGGCTGCATAAATGTCTTCTTTTGAGAAGTGTCTGTTCATGTCCTTTGCCCACTTTTTGATGGGGTTGTTTGTATTTTTTCCTTGTAAATTTGTTTAAGTTCCTTGTAAATTCTGGATATTAGACCTTTGTCAGATGGGTAGATTGCAAAAATTTTCTCCCATTTTATAGGTTGCCTGTTCACTCTGATGATAGTTTCTTTTGCTGTGCAGAAGGTATTTAGTTTAACTAGACCTCATTTATCAATTTTTGCTTCTGTTGCAATTGCTTTTGGTGATTTCATCATAAAATCTTTGCTCATGCCTATGTCCTGAATGGTGTTGCTTATATTTTCTTCTAGGGTTTTTATGGTTTTGGGTTTTATATTTAAGTCTTTAATCCATATTGAGTTAATTTTTATATAAGGTGTAAGGAAGGGGTCCAGTTTCAATTTTCTGCATATGACCAGCCAGTTTTCCCAGCACTATTAATTAAGTAGGGAATTCTTTTCCAATTGCTTGTTTTTGTCAAGTTTGTTAAAGGTCAGATGGTTGTAAATGTGTGGTCTTATTTCTGAGATCTCTATTCTGTTCCATTGGTCTATGTGTCTGTTTTGGTACCAGTACCATGCTGTTTTGGTTACTGTAGCCTTGTAGTATAGTTTGAAGTCAGGTAGCGTGATGCCTCCAGCTTTGTTCTTTTTGCTTAGAATTGTCTTGGCTATATGGGCTCTTTTTTTGTTCCATACGAATTTTAAAGTCATTTTTTCTAATTCTGTGAAGAATGTCAATGGTAGTTTGATGGAAATAACATTGACTCTATAAATTACTTTGGGCGGTGTGGCCATTTTCATGATATTGATTATTCCTATTCATGAGGATGGAATGTTTTTCCATTTGTTGTGTCCTATCTTATTTCCTTGAGCAGTGGTTTGTAGTTCTCCTTGACGAGGTCCTTCACATCTTTTGTTAGCTGTATTCCTAGGTATTTTATTCTCTTTGTAGCAATTGTGAATGGGAGTTCATTCATGATTTGGCTCTCTGCTTGTCTATTGTTGGTGTACAGGAATGCTTGTGATTTTTGCACATTGATTTTGTGTCCTGAGACTTTGCTGAAGTTGCTTATCAGCTTAAGGAGCTTTTGGGCTGAGACAATGGGTTTTTCTAGATATAGGATCATGTTGTCTGCAAACAGAGGCAATTTGACTTCCTCTTTTCCTATTTGAATACCCGTTATTTCTTTCTCTTGCCTGATTGCCCTGGCCAGAACTTCCAATACTATGTTGAATAGGAGTGGTGAGAGAGGGCATCTTTGTCTTGTGCTGCTTTTCAAGGGAAGTGCTTCTGGGTTTTGCCCATTCTGTATGATATTGGCTATGGGTTTGTCGTAAATGGCTCTTACTATTTTGAGATATGTTCCATCAATACCTAGTTTATTGATTGTTTTTAACATGAAAGGATGTTGAATTTTATCAAAGGCTTTTTCGGCATCTTTTGAGATAATCTTGTGGTTTTTGTCATTAGTTCCGTTTATGTGATGAATTATGTTTATTAATTTGCGTATGTTGAACCAGCCTTGCATCCCAGGGATGAAGCAGACTTGATCATGGTGGATAAACTTTTTGATGTGCTGCTGGATTCAGTTTGACAGTATTTTATTGAGGATTTTTGCATCAGTGTTCATCAGGGATACTGGCCTGAAGTTTTCCTTTTTTGTTGTATCTCTGCCAGGTTTTGGTATCAGGATGGTACCTCTGTCCAGTTCTGTGCACTTGCTGGAGAAGTGTTGTGATCATTTGGAGAAGAGGCACTCTGGCCTTTTGAGTTTTCAGCATTTTTCAGCCACAGCCTGTATACTGCACTGTGGGGATTACCTCTTGGAACCAAGCTGTCCTGTCTCTCCGGCTCCAGGAGGGGAAAAATGTGGTCTAGAGCTATAGTGATGGCTGCCACCCTCCCCGCTACCCCCAGTTCAGTGTCAGGTAGCAGTGTACTTAGCTAGCAGCTGGAGTAATGTTTGCCTTCCCTCCCGCAGGGAGCTCAGTTTTCTTAGGCAGCTAGCAACCACAGTGATGAGGGCCGCCCCCACCTCAGGGAGCTCAGTTGTCTTAGGCAGCTGACAGCCGCAGTGATGGCTGCCATCTCTCCCCCTGGAAGCTCAGATGGCTTAGACAGCAGGCAGCTGCAGTGATGATGGCGGCTTCTCCTCCGGGAACTCATTACCTTTAGGCAGATTCCAGCAAGAGTGGCTGTTGAGAGTCTGTGCAGCTCTGTGGTTGGGACCCAAGGCCCTGGTAGTATGGGCTCACGAGTGGAATCTTCCGATCTGTGGGTTGCGCAGATCTGTGGAAAAAGCACGGTTTCCCAGGCAAGATAGCATACTCATTCACCACCTTCCTTGGTTGGGGGTGGGGTTTGCCCTTTCTCCATGTGGGCCGACGCAGCACCCTGCTTTTTCTTGCTCTTTATGGGTCACACCAACTGCCTAGTCAGTCCTGATGATAAAACCTGGATACCTCGATTGCCAGTGCAGGATTGACATGCTGTTTTGTTTCTTCTCAATTGGAGCCTCTAACTGCTGCTGCTTCTAGTTAGCCATCTTGGTCCCGCCAAGCTCAAGACATTTTTATAAGGGATGATACCAGCCATTTAGTCCGTCTCTAAAGAGCTGATGGTCCTAAGAATTTAACCATGTCAATGAAGAATTGTTTACATTATTAACTGAAGGAAAATGGATGCTCTTTAAAGATTTTTTAAGATTGGGAAATAAAGAAAAGTCAGAAATAATCACACTGGGGCAGGGCATGGTGGCCCACACTTGTAATCCCAGAACTGTGGGAAGCAGAGGCAGGTGGATCACTTGAGGTCAGGAGTTTGAGACCAGCCTGGCCAACGTGGTGAAAACCCATCTCTATTAAAATATAAAAATTACCTGGGCAAGATGGCACACACCTGTAATCCCAGCTACTCAGGAGGCTGAAGCAGGAGAATCACATGAACCTGGGAGGTGGAGGTTGCGGTGAGCCAAGATCGTGCCACTGCACTCCAGCCTGGGCGACAGAGTGAGACCCTGTCTCGAAAAAAAAGAAAAAGAAAAAAAAGAAATAACCAAACTGGGACTGTATGGTGGATGCCCAGTGATTTTACATGTCAGAATTCTTGTGAAATTGCCCTTGTTGAGAGGAATGAACATGAGCGTTGTTGTGGTGGAGAAGAACTCTATAGTAAAGCTTTCCTGGTTATTTTTCTGCTAAAGCTTGGCTTTCTTAAAACGTTCTCTGGCCCTCCAGAAAGTCAACAAGCAAAATACCTTTAAGATCTGCAAAACCTGTTGTCATGACCTTTGCTTTTTGTGTGTGTTGGGACCTTTGCTTTTGACCAGCCAGCTTTTACTTTGACTAGACAATTTACACCTCTTGATAGCATTGCTTTGATTGTGCTTTGTCTTCAAGATCATACTGCTAAAGCCATGTTTCATCTCCCGTTACAATTCTCCAAAGAAAGTATTCAGAATCTTGATCCCATTGTTTAAAATTTCCATGGAAACTCAGCTCTTATCTGCAGCTGATCTGGGTGCAATTTGGCACCCATTGAGCAGAAATTTGCTCAACTTTAATTTTTTAGTCAGAATTGTGTAAGCTGAACCATCTGGGATGTCTATGGTATTTCCTAGTGTATCTGCTGTTAATCATTGGCCCTGTTCAATTACGGTATGAACAGGACTAATTTGTTTCTTATAAAATGATATGGATAGCCTGTCACTACAGGCTTTATCTCCAACATCATCTTATCCCTTCTTAAAACAAGTTATTCATTTGTACACTACTTATTTCTTTGAGGCATTGTCCTCATAAACTTTTCATAAAGTGTCAATGATTTCATTATTCTTCCACCCAAGCTTCACCATAAATCTGATGTTTGTTCTTGCTTCAATTTTAGTGAATTCATGTTGCTCTAATCGGGAGTCTTTTCAAACGGAAGTCCTATCCTTCTTTGTGGCTTAAACTAGATCCTGCTCAGACATGTTATAACAAGTTAATACAAGTTTATTATGATGCAAACTTTATTTAAATTCATGCATATTTTTTCATAGTACGCATTTTTCATGAACTTTTTGAAGACCTCTTGTATTTTCTGGGAGAGATTAGTATTGGTGTTATTTTTTAAATTAAATTTTTTTTACCTCATACCATGTATTTTTTTTTATTCCTTTGAGACATCGTCTTTGGCCCATGGATTATTTAGAGATACGTTAACATCCAAGTGTTAGAATATTTTTCTTTTATCTTTATGTTATTGATTTCTCCTTTGATTCCATTGTGGTCACAGAACACACTCTGTATGATTTCATGTCTTTTACATTTACTGAGGCTTGTTTTATGACTCAGGGCAAGATGTGTTTTGAGATATGTTTCACTGGCACTTGGAAGAGTGTATTTTGAAATTTTTTTTTTTTGAGATGATGGAGTCTCTCTCTCTCTCTCTCTTTTTTTTTTTTGAGACAGAGTCTCACTCTGTTGCCCAGGCTGGAGTGCAGTGGCATGATCTTGGCTCTTGGCTCACTGCAACCTCCACCTCCCGGGCTCAAGTGATTCTCCTGCCTCAGCCTCCCAAGCAGCTGGGACTACAGGCATGCACCACCACACCTGGCTAATTTTTGTATTTTTAGTAGAGACAGGGTTTCACCATGTTGGCCAGGCTGATCTCGAACTCCTGACCTCAAGTGATCTGCTTGCCTCAGTGTCTCAAAGTGCTGGGATTACAGGTGTGAGCCACTGTGCTCAGCCCGTGATTGTTGAATAGTGTGTTCTATAAATGTCAATTAGTTTCCATTGGTTAGTGATGTTACTGAGTTCTTCTATATTCTTGCTGATTTTCTTTTTAGTTGTTCTGTTATTTGTTGAGAGAGAATTGTTGAAGTCTCCAATTATAATTGTGGATTTATCTGTTTCTCCTTTTAGTTCTATGAGATTTTGTTTCACAGCTCTGTTGTTTGGTGCATACACATTTAGGGTTGCCATGTCTTTTTGGTGGATTGACTCCTTATCATTTATAATTTTCCTCTCTCTCTCTCTCTCTTTTTTTTTGAGACAGGGTCTCACTCTGTCATCCGGACTGGAGTGCAGTGGTGTGATCTCGGCTCACTGCAACCTCCACCTCTCAGGATCAAGTGATTTTCCTGCCTCAGCCTCCCAAGTAGCTAGGATTACAAGCGCGCACCACTACCGCCAGGCTCATTTTTGTATTTTTAGTAGAGAGGGGATTTCATCACGTTGGCCGGGCTGGTCTTGAACTCCTGACCACAAATGATCCACCCGCCTTGGCCTCCCAAGTTGCTGGGATTACATGCATGAGCCACCGCTCCTGGCCTGATTTTCCTCTATATACCGGTAGTTATCTTTGTCTTGAACTCTATTTGATAGATGCTTCTGCTTTCCTTTGATCACTTCTGACTAAAAAATTAAAGTTGAGCAAATTTCTCCTCAATGGGTCCAAAACCATTGCACCTAGATCAGCTGCAGATGAGAACTGAGTTTCCATGGAAATTTTAAACAATGGGATCAAGATTCTGAATACTTTCTTTGGAGAACTGTAACAGGAGATGACACATGGCTTTAGCAGTATGATCTTGAAGACAAAGCACAATCAAAGCAATGCTACCAAGAGGTGCAAATGGCCTAGTCAAAGTAAAAGCAGGCTGGTCAAAAGCAAAGGTCCCAACACACACAAAAAGCAAAGGTCATGGCAACAGGTTTTGGGGATGCTCAAGACATTTTGCTTGTTGATATAGCTTTTACATTTTTAATTTTAATCTCCCTGTATTTTTATATTTCAAGTGAGATACTCATAGGCAGCATGTAATTGGGTCTTTTTTTGATTCACTTAGTCAGTTTTTTTTTCTCTTTCTTTTTCTTTTCTTTTCTTTCTTTCTTTTTTTTTTTTGAGACAGGGTTTTGCTCTGTCACTCAGGCTAGAGTGCAGTGATATGGTGTTGGCTCACTGCAGCCTTGATCTCTCAGGCTCAAGTGATCCTCCCACCTCACCCTCCTAAGTAACTGAGAGTACAGGTGCATGCCACCATGTCCAGCTAATTTTGTTTATTTTTTGTAGAGACAAGGTCTTACTATGTTGCCTAGGTTGGTCTTGAACCCCTGGGCTCAAGAAATCCTCCCACTTTGGCCTTCCAAAATGTTGGAATTACAGGCACAAGCCTCTACACCTAGCCTAAGATTTTTTCTTTTTCATTTATTTTCAAAAGTTTGCCTGTTATATGCCTTGGTGTGGAGTCTTTGGAGTTCACTCACCTCTCTATATTGTTTATCAAATTTGGGAACTTTTTAGCCATTTTTTGAGTTATTTTTAGCCTTGTCTCCTTTGCCTTTTCTTTCAGTACTCCACTGACATGAATGTTGGAGCTTTTGTTAAGTTCCCACATGTCCCCAAGGTACTGTTCTTTTTTATTCTTTTAGTCTATTTTGTTGCTGTTTTTCAAATTGCGTAATTTTTATTTATTTACTTATTTGTTATGTTTTTAGAGATGGGGTCATGCTCTGTTGCCCTGGCTGGAGTGCAGTGGCATGATCATACTGCACCATAACCTCAAACTCCTGGGCTTAAGCAATCCTCCCACCTTCACCTCCCAAAGTGCTGTGATTACAGGTGTGAGCCACTGTGCCCTGCCCAGATTCAGTATTTTCTATTTTTCTTTTAGTTTCCTTATTCTCTTTTTTGACCACTCCATTCTTCTATTTGGGTTTTTATTTTGGTTATTGTACTTTTTTCCAAAATTTTCATTTGGTTCTTTTCATCATCTATTTATTTGCTGAGACTTTCTGTTTCATTGCTGAGGGTTTCTATTTTTTTATTCGTTTCAAGCATATTTGCAATTGCTCATTGAAGCATTTTCATGGTGACTGCTTTAAAATTTTTATCACAGAATTCTAACAGCTCTTTCATCTCATTGTTGGCATTGGTATGTTATTTTTTAAATTTAATTTATCTTCTTGGTTATTGGAATAATGAGTAATTTCTTCATATTGAAACTTGAACATTTTTATATCATGTTTTGAGACTCTAGAGCTTACTTATTCTATTTTAGCTAGTTTCTCCTGACACTGTTCTGTCAGAGAGAGCATTGGCACTACCTCATTACTGTCACTTGAAGATAAAGCCCAAGTTTCCCATAGGCCTACATTGACAAATGCATGGACATGTCCTCTATACTTCTAGGTGGGGTGGAAGTTTTGGCCCCACCATGTGTTCTCCATAGACACTAAGGTAGAGATGCCCTTGTTATCACATGGTGAAAGGTCTTGGCTCTCCACTAAAACCTCCTCTGACATCACCTGATATGGTTTGGATATTTGTCCTCTTCAAATCTCATGTTGAATTGTGATGCCTAATGTTGGAGTTGAGGCTATCAGGAGGTGTTTGGGTCATAAGAGTGCATCCCTCATGAATGACTTGGTGCTATTCTTGGGGTAGTGAGTGAGCTCCCACTCTGTGAGTTCACACAAGATCTAGTTGCTTAAAAGAGTGTGGTATCTCCTTCCTTTTCCTCTTGCTCTCTCTCTAATCATGTGATATGCTGGTTTTCCCTTCGTGTTCAGCCATGATTGGCAGCTTCCTGAGGCCTTCACCAGAAGCAGATGCCAACACCCTGCTTCCTGTACAGCATGCAGGACCATGAGGCAAATAAACCTCCTTTCTTTATAGATTACCCAGTCTCAGATATTACTTCATAGCAACACAAAATGAACTAATACAGAAAATTGGTACCAAAGACTGGGGTGTTCCTATAAAGATATCTGAAGATGTGGAAGCAGCTTTGGAGCTGGGTAACGGGCTGAGATTGGAAGAATCTGGAGGTCTCAGAAAAGACAGGAAGATGAGGGAAAGTTTGGAACTTCTTAGAGACTTGTTAAGTGGTTGTGACAAAAATGCTGATAGAACTATGGATAGCAAAGGCCAAGCTGATGAGTTCTCAGATGGAAATTAGGAATTTATTGGGAACTGGAGCAAAGGTCACTCTTGTTATGCCTTAGCAAAGAACTTGGCTGCATTGTGTCAATGTCCTGGGGATTTATGGAGGGTTGAACTTAAGTATGATTACCTAGGATATCCAGTGGAAGAAATTTCTTTCTTCTTTTTTTTTTTTTTTTTTTTTAAGGCGGAGTCTCGCTCTCTAGCAGGCTGGAGTGCAGTGGCACAATCTCGGCTCACTGCAAGCTCCATCTCCCGGGTTCATGACATTCTTCTGTCTCAGCCTCCCGAGTAGCTGGGACTACAGGTGCCTGCCACCACGGCTGGCTAATTTTTTTTTTTTGTATTTTTTTAGTAGAGACAGAGTTTCACCGTGTTAGCCAGGATGGTCTCGATCTCCTGACCTCGTGATCCACCCACCTCGGCTTCCCAAAGTGCTGGGATTACAGGCATAAGCCACTGCGCCCAGCCAGGTGGAAGAAATTTCTAAGCAGTGAAGCATTCAAGATGTGTCATGGCTGCTTCTAACAACCTATGATTAGATATGGGAGCAAATAAATGACTTAAAGTTGGAACTTATATTTAAAAGTGAAGTGGAGTGTAAAAATTTGGACAAGTCACAACCTGGCCACGTAGTAACAGAAGGAAAAAGCATTTTCAGGAAATAGATTCAAGAGGGCTACAGAGAAACCACTTGCCATGGAGATTAGCATGACTAAAAGGGAGGCAAGTGCTAATACCTAAGATAATGGGGAAAAGGCCTCTAAGCCATTTCAGAAATCTTCCAGGTAGTCCCTCCCATCACAGATCCAGAGACCTAGGAGGAGAGAATGAGTTTGAGGACCAGGCCCAAGGCCCTGCTGGCATGTGAAGCCTTGGGACACTGCTCCCAGGATCCTGACTGCCTTGGCTCCAGCTGGTACAGGTACAGGCCACAGGTACAGCTCTGGCCACTGCGCTGGAGAGTGCAGGCCACCATAAACCTTGATGGTTTCCACATGGTGTTAAGCCTGTAGGCGCACAGAATGCAAGTGTGAAGGAGGCTTGGCAGCTTCCACCTAGATTTCAGAGGATGTATCAGAAAGCCTGGATGCCTAGGCAGAAGCCTGCCATAGGGTGGAGCTCCTGTAAAGAACTTCTACTAGAGCAATTCCCAGGAGAAATGTGGAGCTGGAGCTCTCCCACCGAGTTTTCACCAGCATACTTTCTAATGGAGCTGTGGGAAGGGGGCCGCTATCCTCTAGATCCGAGAATAATATGAGAATGCCACCAGCAGCTTGCACCCTGAGCCTGGAGAAGCTGCAGGCATTCAATTCCAAGCCATGATATCAGCCATGGGTGTTGCACCCTACAAAGGCATGGAGGTGGGGCTGCTCAATGCCTTAGGAGTCTGCTCTGTGCACCAGTATGCCCTGGATGCAGGACATGGGGTCAATAATTATTTTGGAGCTTTAAGATTTAATGTCTGCCCTGTGTGGTTTCAGATTTGTGTGGGGCCTGTTCCTTTCTTTTGGCTGTTTTCTCCCTTTTAGAATGGAAATGTTTACCCAATGCAATGCCTGTACCACCATTGTATCTTTTTTTTTTTTTTAAATCTTACAGGCTCTTAGGTAGAAGGAACTTGCCTTGAGTCTCAGATGGGACTTGGGACTTTTGATTGAGTTGGTGCTGGAACAAGTTAAGACTTTGGGAGAACTATTGGTAAGGAATGATTGGATTATGCAATGTGAGAAGGACATGAGATTTGGAGGGCTGGGGTGGAATGATATGGTTTGGATATTTGGCTCCTCCGAATCTCTTGTTGAAAAGTGATCTCCAATGTTGGAGGTGAACCTAGTTGTGGGTGTTTGTGTCATGGGGGCGGATTCCTCATGAATGGCTTGGTGCTTGGTAATGAGTGAGTTACCACTCTATGAGTTCACATGATATATATTTTTTAAGAGTGTGGCACCTCCTCCCTCTCTCTCTTGTTTTCTCTCTCTCTTACCATGAGCTATGCTGGCTCCCCCTTTGCTATCAGTTGTGATTGGAAGCTTCCAGAGGCCCTCACCAAAGGCAGATGCTGGCACTATGCTTCTTACGTAGCCTGGAGAACCGTGAGCCAAATAAACCTCTTTTCTTTATAGATTACCCGCCTCAGGTATTCCTTTATAGCAATGCAAAATGGACTAATGCACCACCCCAGCAGAGAGGGGGAGGTGGCACCGTGTTATTTTCTGCACAGTCCAGGCTGTCCACATGGTCTCCTCTGATACCACAACTGTGGAGCTTGCTAGCAGTTGGGGGAATGAAAGTCTCAGTTTCATTTTTTGGCCTGATCTGATACCACCAGAAGTATTGGGATTCCTCATTAACAGCTTTGCAAGAGCGTTAATCTAGATTCCCCACTCAACTTTTGCTGGTGTGGGGCCACAGTTTTTTTCTGTGGTGATTACCTGGAGTAAATGATTATCTAGGAGCTTTTTGTCTTGCTAGGCTGCCTATTTCCTGGTCCTTTGTCTAGAGAAAGCATGCTTTTTTTTTTGAGCTTTTTGCATCAGTACCCAATAATGTTTCTGGTTGTTGGCTTCTTCTGGTCCAAGTCTGGAATAGATAAGGCAAAAACCCAGAGATTTCACCACTGTGTCAGTCTTCAAAATTTATAACACTTTAAAGTATTTTGCACTTCCAAATGTTGACAATGTTCTCTAAATCTGCTAACCTTTAGAATGTTTCCAAGTTTAAAGTTTGCTTCACTTTTAGACTAAGAGAATATTCATGTATCTTATGTTGCTCTATCTTTTGTAATAAAGTAATTACTACATTGAACTGTTAAAATATATAAACTGCTTGTTAAAAATAAAATAGCTCCATGTTTTGTCTATATCTTAATTATCAAGTAAACAAGGATTTAGGCTTTCTGATTATGAAGACATACTGGATTAAATAATCCTTATTCACATTAATGTCCTTAACTATTCTTAGTACTTAAAATATAAACATTATGGCCATTCCTTTAAAAAAAAACTAGTGATAGCTTATTCTGATCACATTTCTTAGTCAAACTAAGATGTAGCTATGGGATTCTGATTATGAATTGGACTGAAATTGAAAGAGAGGTTTATTAATAGGTAGGTTATTCTCAAATTATTTTTTAAATATATCTTTGCATAAGATTTACATTTTTCTTTTGACTATGGATTATATAAAGATTCTCAGTACGTGTCTCTGATATTGCGATTCAATATCCATATGATTTTTGTTGTAATATGACAATGTTTGGTCTTGATAAGAAAAAAGCATGGATGAAAATTTAACATAGGAATAAAAGATCTAGTGGACACCGATTCAATTAGGAATACTGAGTTTTGGAAGTCAGAGTTATAAGTTCAATACTTAGGTCATTATGTTATATAACAACAAGGGAAAATGTCACAAATATCTTTATTCTAACAGTTAAAGTATCAGAAAATGATGAAGTTGTTCATACCACATTAAAGGAATTTTACATGTGTTCAGAAATTTTCCAAAAATGTCATCTGTAAGTACCTGATAACTATATATACATGTGCATATGTACGTGTGTGTGTATAATATCATTTAAAAAAAAACACCCAAGCTATCCTAGAATAAGGTGAATCATATCAGTCAAACTACCTTATTTTAAAACTTTGACATTCAGTTGCAAATATTTAATAATAAAAATATATAAGCTGATAAATCGTTTTAAATAAAATGATGTAAGGAGAGGTTAAGTAGATCTTAAAGTTTCTAATTCAATTGTAATATGTTTGTAATCATTACTAAAAGAAAATACTGGATTACACACTCTCCAATGAGATTTGAAATGTTCTGGGTCTTAAAAGGACATAAAATTGAAAATGATTGCATTTAACAAATTGCAGACGGATATAGATTGCATTTTGAAAATCAACGAATGGATCTAAAATTTACATTGGCCACATGATGTCGCTGTACACCACAAAGTCTTGTCAATAGAAGGGAGCTACTGATCACTAAAAGTGAAGGAGGAAGCTCCATTTTGTCACCGCCTGAGAGAAGACAGAAACGGTAAAGAGATAAATGATTGGAAATATTAGATAAAATGGCATGATTTTGAAGTAAGAGGAGAGCATAAGAAAGGTGTAGTCCTTTTGCAATGGTGTTTTCTAGGAGAGGGGGCCTGGGAGCCCGGGATCTGCTTCTTTGGCTTCTGCTCCTCGCAGCCTGGGAGGTGGGGAGCGGCCAGCTCCACTACTCGATCCCGGAGGAAGCCAAACACGGCACCTTCGTTGGCCGCGTTGCTCAGGACCTGGGACTGGAGCTGGCGGAGCTGGTGCCTCGCCTGTTCCGGGTGGCGTCCAAAACACACAGGGACCTTCTGGAGGTAAATCTGCAGAATGGCATTTTGTTTGTGAATTCTCGGATCGATCGCGAGGAGCTGTGCCAGTGGAGCGCGGAGTGCAGCATCCACCTGGAGTTGATCGCCGACAGGCCGCTGCAGGTTTTCCATGTGGAGGTGAAGGTGAAAGACATTAACGATAATCCACCCGTCTTCAGGGGCAGAGAACAAATAATATTTATTCCTGAATCTAGACTCCTGAATTCGCGTTTTCCGATAGAAGGAGCTGCTGATGCAGACATTGGTGCTAACGCTCTTCTAACGTACACGCTCAGCCCGAGTGATTATTTCTCTTTGGATGTAGAGGCAAGTGATGAACTGAGTAAATCTCTTTGGCTTGAATTGAGAAAATATTTGGATAGAGAAGAAACACCAGAACTTCACTTATTACTGACTGCCACTGATGGGGGCAAACCGGAGCTGCAAGGTACAGTTGAGCTGCTGATCACCGTCCTCGACGTTAATGATAACGCCCCACTGTTTGACCAGGCCGTATACAGAGTCCACTTGTTAGAGACTACAGCAAATGGAACATTAGTGACCACATTAAATGCCTCTGATGCTGACGAAGGTGTAAATGGTGAAGTCGTCTTTTCCTTTGACAGTGGTATTTCTCGTGACATTCAAGAAAAATTCAAAGTTGATTCCAGCTCAGGAGAAATTAGGTTAATTGATAAACTGGATTATGAAGAAACAAAATCCTACGAAATTCAAGTAAAGGCAGTTGATAAAGGAAGTCCTCCGATGTCAAATCACTGTAAGGTTTTGGTGAAAGTGCTGGATGTAAATGATAATGCTCCAGAACTGGCGGTCACTTCATTGTATTTGCCTATCAGAGAGGACGCTCCACTCAGCACCGTCATCGCCCTCATCACCGTGTCTGACCGTGACTCAGGTGCCAACGGGCAGGTGACTTGCTCCTTAATGCCCCACGTCCCCTTCAAGCTGGTGTCCACCTTCAAGAATTACTACTCGTTGGTGTTGGACAGCGCCCTGGATCGCGAGAGCCTGTCGGTCTATGAGCTGGTGGTGACCGCGCGGGACGGGGGCTCGCCTTCGCTGTGGGCCACGGCCAGGGTGTCCGTGGAGGTGGCCGACGTGAATGACAACGCGCCTGCGTTCGCGCAGCCCGAGTACACAGTATTCGTGAAGGAGAACAACCCGCCGGGCTGCCACATCTTCACGGTGTCTGCGCGGGACGCGGACGCGCAGGAGAACGCGCTGGTGTCCTATTCGCTGGTGGAACGGCGGGTGGGCGAGCGCGCGCTGTCGAACTACGTGTCAGTGCACGCGGAGAGCGGCAAGGTGTACGCACTGCAGCCCCTGGACCACGAGGAGCTGGAGCTGCTGCAGTTCCAGGTGAGCGCGCGGGATGCGGGCGTGCCGCCTCTGGGCAGCAACGTGACGCTGCAGGTGTTCGTGCTGGACGAGAACGACAACGCGCCGGCGCTGCTGGCGCCTCGAGTGGGTGGCACTATTGGTGCAGTCAGTGAGCTGGTGCCGCGATTGGTGGGTGCGGGTCATGTGGTGGCGAAGGTGCGCGCAGTGGACGCCGACTCGGGCTACAACGCGTGGCTGTCCTATGAACTGCAGCCGGCAGCAGGCGGCGCGCGCATCCCGTTCCGCGTGGGGCTGTACACGGGCGAGATCAGCACGACTCGTGTCCTGGACGAGGCTGACTTGTCGCGCTACCGCCTTCTGGTGCTAGTGAAGGATCACGGTGAGCCGGCGCTGACAGCCACGGCCACTGTGCTTGTATCTCTGGTGGAGAGCGGCCAGGCGCCAAAGGCGTCTTCGCGGGCGTCGGTGGGTGTCGCGGGCCCAGAGGCGGCGCTGGTGGATGTCAACGTGTACCTGATCATCGCCATCTGCGCGGTGTCCAGCCTGCTGGTGCTCACACTGCTGCTGTACACGGCGCTGCGGTGCTCAGTGCCGCCCACTGAGGGTGCGTATGTGCCGGGCAAGCCCACTCTGGTGTGCTCCAGCGCGTTGGGGAGCTGGTCGAACTCACAGCAGAGGCGGCAGAGGGTGTGCTCTAGCGAGGGCCCACCCAAGACCGACCTCATGGCCTTCAGCCCAGGCCTATCTCCAAGTCTTAACACGTCAGAAAGAAATGAACAACCAGAAGCAAATTTGGATCTTTCTGGTAATGTAAGTCCAACTTTCGAGTTTTGGCTTTAAATATTTTTCATATTTAACTTGTCTAATCATCTTTTCAAATATCACTTTAAAAAATGTCTTCAAGGTGTTCACTAACGTTGAAATAAATCATACCATTGAATGTAGATATCCTATTAATGGCAGTTTTGTCTTGAATGGAACTAGAAAGCAAAGAAAAATGTAGGGACAAATTGTCGTATTTCTTGATTTAAATGGCAGGTTAAAAAAGCTACAATACAAGGTACAATAAAAGGTAATGTTGGTCATATTTAACACAATATCTCAATGTAGTAAAATAACAGTGACATATTCGGGGTAACTTATTATGTTATCTTTTCTGGTGAAATGTCAAGCCCCGGACAAACAATTCTTGACAAAGTTACAGAAATCATCTGCCTTCCCTTTACGTGGCTAAGTTTCAAAGTGAACAATAAACTGAAGTTTTAAGCAAACGTAATTTAAAATACATTTATTGGCTGGGGGCGGTGGCTTATGCCTGTAATCCCAAAACTTTGGGAGGCCGAGGAGGGCGTATCACCTGAGATCAGGAGTTTGAGACTAGCCTGGACAACATGGTGAAACCCCGTCTCAACTAAAAATACAAAAACATTGGCCAGGCCTGGTGGTGGGCGCCTGTAATCCCAGCTAATGGGGAGGCTGAGGCAGGAGAATCGCTTGAACCCGGGAGGCAGAGGTTGTAGTGAACCGAAGTCGCACCATTGCACTCTAACCTGGGCGACAGAGTGAGACTCTGTCAAAACAAAAACAAAAACAAACCAAAACCGACCAACCAAACAAACAAAAAACACCATTTATTGGGCGATTTGTTTAATTTCTTTATGAAAACATACAACCACGACTTCATTGTCATTGTGAACAATTTCCTGATGCCATTAACCTTGAATTCCCCTGGGTCTAGAAGGCTTAGCATTGCATGTATTTGCTATTTCGGGGATCCAGTTAGGAAACACTTATTAAGCACCTCCCATTCCTCCCATTCACTCACAAATGTTCTAAAACCCTTTACTTTTTTAGCTCATTCGATCCTTCCAACGATTTTATGAAGTGAAGACTTTCGTCACATTTTGTGGATAAAGGTGCTGAGGCTCGCAAAACCTAAGTTCAGTATTATTACTAAGTTTTCTTCAAATTTCCCGAGGATATCCAAAAACTTGCTTGCTGTTAATACAGTTCTTTACCTTTCCTAAAATGTTTAAGGTGGCTTACAGTGGAAGAAATTTGTGAAAGCAAATTATTAAAAAATCTGCTTAAGGTCAAAGTAAAAGATCAAGAGAAAGGTGGGAGTCATTATTTCAAAAATCAAGCCTAGGCTGAGTGAAAATCCCAATACTTACCTTCCTGTAAGTCAATATAGAAGTATGAAAAAATAACAATAAAAGGAAATTCTCTATACCATTTCTTCAAGAGAGAAAAAATAGCCTCTTCCTGCTACAAAATCAAGGAAGATTTGATTACTGATGATTGTGTAAAGGTTGAGAAATATACTGGGCAGCACGTTTTATAGCAGTTTTGCAAAACCCACGGAAATATCCTTGATGTAGACATCATTGTATTTGGTAGTCATTCAGTCAAGGGCATAATGTTAAATTTTATTTCCTATGTTTGCTTCTGAAGTTACTTAAATATTAAATGAATATATTTTTGTTTGTCAAACTTTCAAACATACATGAATGTCCCCTTGTGAAGACATTCTATGAGAAATTAATATAATTTGCTAGTTAAGTTTCCAGAGATTTGAGTTGATACAGAGTTGTTGCTTAGAGTATTGTAAAAAATAGGCTGTAAACATGTTCTGTAACTTTTAATATATTATCGTACTCAGCCTTTTGGCAAGAATCAGAAAAAAATAATCTTAGCATCACGTTGCCAAGAAAATGTCCCAGTTCCTCAAAATATGAGACAAACTTTGCAGGATTATAAAATTGGAAAAAATAGATCAGAAAATCACAAAATAATTTCTCTTTCCAATTCACATTACTGTGTCCCCAAAGCTTCATTTGCTAACAGTATTAATGGCCAGGCTTAGGATTGCCTTTACATACATTCAATATTTCTTTATTTAGTTTTCTAGGTTAGTTGAGTGTATTAACCTGAAGGTGAATCACAAATAATAGTGAATTACTATTAAACCAAAAATAAATGGGCGTAGGAGTACAAAATTTGAAAAGTAATTTTTATGAAAAGGTAATTCTAGAATGGAGGAAAAAATGATTGTGGAGTGGTATTGTCACTTAGTGTTTATTTTAATGTAAATATGAATGGATTTCCCATTGGTAGTTAAAGTTCTTGCTCCATTCCAAATCTTCATATAGTTAACACAACTTTCAACAGGTTTATCTTTCTTCACAAGATTTCATCCACAAACTAGTAAGGTATCATTTGAGGGACCTTAGAGACTTGTGGTCAGTGAAGGATGCAAATAGATGAAAATGAGAAATAGTTTATATTGCTAGCCACTACCGATATTCCTCTGAGAATGCTGGAGGATTTCACTTTTCTGTTATTTTGAGGTAGCACGATTGTGTAATTTCCTTTGGCCAATGAAATGTGAATGGTGTGTCACTTCCAAGCAGAATTATGTAACTGCCAGTGAAAGACTCTTCTGCTATCTTTTCCTGTTACAGCAATTACATAAGCACTGGTTGATACTGAGACACCATAAAGTCAAAGCAATCCAGGATGCTGAGCCAACATGTGGAGAAAAGCTGTCATAGGAAGTCCCCAATAACTACAAAGGACTCTGCAGCAGCAAGAAATAAAATTATGTTTATTTTAGAGGAAAAACTGAATGTTAACTCACAACAGCATATGTATTGAGGTCCCACTGCCATTAAGCTAATATGAACCAGATAAATTTTAAGAGGGGGGCATTTTTTTTACAACAGGAAATACAACTGTAGGAGAACATTATTGTTGACACTTTTTACTAAGACATCTGACCGTTAAGCAGATTAGATAACTTGAATTCCATGGAAAAAATCTACTGTGTTTTGATTTCTTTTTCTTAAATATAAAAGGTAGCAGAAGAAAAATAATAAACTGAAATTTAAAATGTCATAGATATTCCTTCTTTTTTCTTGCTTAGCATCCACTCCCCTTGTTGTTTTTTTCTTCTGGGGTCTTCTAGTAGTTTTGTGAAAGACTAGGTTGAAGGTTTTGCAAGAATGAGTGCTTGGACATGTAAACGTTAAGGGATATACAGTTCCATAGATAGGTGCAAAGGGTATAATTTTAGCAATGGGTACTATATTAATTTCCTTGGGCTGATGCAACAAATTACCACAGACTTGGTGGCTTGAAATAACAGAAATTTATTTTCTTACAGAGTCTCTGTAAGAATAAATTTCTTCTCTCTTATGGAGGCCAGAAGTCCAAAATCAGCGTGTTTCCTGGGCCGCATTTCTTCTGAAGACTTTAGGGGAAATTTTTTTCTTGGATCTTCCAGCTTCTGGTAGCTCTTGGCATTGCTTGGCTTGTGGCAGCATAACTCCAGTTCCTGCCTCTGTCTTCACATTTCCTTCTTTCCTGTGTTACTATATGCCTTCTCTTTTTCTGTCTTTTATAAGGGGCAACCATCATTGGATTTATGGCCTTCTGTAATCTAGGATGATCTCATATCAAGATCCTCATCTTTGTTACATCTGCAAAGACCTTTATTCCAAATAAGGTCACTTATTTAAACCTCAGAAAAGTGATGTCTTTTGGGGTATCTTTGACCCAAAACAGGTACCAAGAGATATCAAGTGCAGTGGGAGGAAGGATATTTGCTGAGCATGGCTTCTTAATCTCTTTTCCCCGTTGTGGGGGAAATGTACTTGCATATCTGGCAATAGTATTCTATCTCCGGGGGAAGGGGGAAATATTCCATATTCTCAGAAATCCTAAATAACAGCACAAAATGCCTCTTATACCCCCACATATGTCATTCTGAATATCCGGTATAATTAATTACCTTATATGATTGCAGAAATTGTCTCAAGCAAGCCATGTTTCCTGAAGCTAGCATCTGGATTCTAGGTATAATTCCTTCTATGTGTCAACAGTGGTCAATGTTGGCTATAGATTAAATAATAATTACTGGGTATCATACATATGCAATTGCTTTGCAACTACATAATGCTGTAACGAGCAGTTCTGAAGCTATCTGCCATCTGTTTAAGCTCCAGGAGAATTTGGGTACATGCCATGACCTCCACTTTTCAGTTCACATAAAAACCAACCTCCCACTTTTCAGTTCACATAATTTAGGTGGAGCTGATTTCATTTCCTGGCTTCAAGAATGAGCAAGTGGACCCATGTCTAGCCAATGTGAGAAAAATCACAATTATTGACTAAAGGAAATTTACATCATCCAAACTGGGCTGTAGGAAGTAATATCCAGGATTTTTGCTGGACTATTAGAAAAGAGCACTTTCTGGTAAGAGTCATCAAACTGGTAATTTTTAGTCTAGAAAGCTACTTTGGCCATTTTGCCAGCAGATGGGAAAAGTCTATCTGAGAAGAAGTTCAGCAGGGGAAAAGGAATTATAAATGTGGAGATTATTTTCCTTATGGAATTATGGAAGGGTGTAGACCCAGCTCTGTCTGAAACCAGTAATTAATTACCCATTTCCATGTATGAGTCAGTACAGGATTCTCTGGTTTATTTTTGCTTAAATCGGTTAACTTGGGATTTACTGTTAGAGTATGATTAACATAAATACACATTTCCATAGATGGTACAAATGAGTATCTTAAGATACTGTACATGAGGGAAAAAAATTGTTATTGGAAAAAAAGCTAGCTTTTCTTAACAAGAGCTTTGCTTTTCTCTTACGGACATTGCAAATTTTGCAATTAATTTTACTTCTCTCTTTGCTCTAGGAAGCTGAAAACAAAATTGGTGACATGGTTAGAGTAACTGAAGGTGACCCTTTATTATGGATTTTGTATGCTATCCCACTCCTTGATTCATTTTATTTCATCCTCATCTTATCTTTATTCTATTTTCATTTTTTTACTGTGAAGGGATCAGCTAAAAATTAACAAAAGAAGATATTCTCAAGTAATTAACACAAAAAAAGAGATCGATTGTATTGTTCTTGCATAAAAGTCTAAATGTAATGGAAAAGGAATATTCTAAAGTAATAGTACATTATCCAAATGAGAAACAAATAAATTATTAATTTCAAAACATTTGCAAACAATTCAAAAATCAAAATTAAATCACAAAACAACAGTATATATACACATATATTTTCAATGGACTAAAATACCTTTGATTACTATGTTCTTCATTTGAAGAAATAGTGAAAAATGCTAATATATCCAAAAGAATTGAAAGCAGGGTCTCAAAGAAATATATGCACACCCATGTTCATGGCAGCACTGTTCACAACAGTCAAGAAATGGAAGCAACTCAAATGTCCACGAATACTTGAATGAATAAACAAAACGTGGTGTATACATATGTTGGACTATTATTCAGCCTTAAAAAGGAAAGAAGTCCTGTCACATGTTACAATATGGATGAACCTTGAGGAACCATCCACGGATGCTTGAATGAATAAACAAAACGTGGTGTATACATACGATGGACTAGTATTCAGCCTTAAAAAGGAAATAAATCTTGTCACATGCTACAACATGGATGAACCTTGAGGACATTGTGCTAAGTGAAATAGGCCAGTCACAAAAAGACAAATACTTTACGAGTCCACTTACACGAAATATCTAAAGTAGTGAAATTCATAGAAATAGAAAATAGGACTGTGGTTACCAGAGACTGGAGTGACGGTGAAAAGCGGAGTTGTTGTCTAATGGGTATAGAGTTTCTGTTTTCCAAGATGAAAAATTTGTAACAATGTGAATATACTTAACATTACTGAAATGTACATTTAATCATAGTTAATATGGTAATTTTAAATATTATGTTGTGTGTTTTTTAACCAGAGTAAAAAAGGGTAAAAAGGTAATATATTTTAGGGCTTAAAATAGTTATTTTTTTCCAAGATGAAAGCTATGAGTAAACTTAAACCAGAAAATCGACTAGTTTTAAATCTACAGAATAAACAGTAGAGCCTTCCTTTTAGCCACATGATGTCGCTGTCCACCATAGAGTGTTCTCTAGGAAGGAAAATACCCAGAGCCCCTTTGTTACTTCAGAGAAGCGGAGGAATAAGAGAAGCAGCAGGACTTTAACAGAGACTAGAATATTTAAATTTTTGCAAAACATGCTCTTCTAATTTGATCAAAACATTGAGGATTGGTAATGGCGTCTTCTATCAGAAGGGGCCGAGGGGCCTGGACACGGCTGCTCTCGCTTCTGCTCCTCGCAGCCTGGGAGGTGGGGAGCGGCCAGCTCCGCTACTCCGTCCCCGAGGAGGCCAAACACGGCACCTTCGTGGGCCGCATCGCGCAGGACCTGGGGCTGGAGCTGGAGGAGCTGGTGCCGCGCCTGTTCCGGGTGGCGTCCAAAAGACACGGGGACCTTCTGGAGGTAAATCTGCAGAATGGCATTTTGTTTGTGAATTCTCGGATCGACCGGGAGGAGCTGTGCGGGCGGAGCGCGGAATGTAGCATCCACGTGGAGGTGATCGTGGACAGGCCGCTGCAGGTTTTCCATGTGGAAGTGGAGGTGAAGGACATTAACGACAACCCGCCAATATTTCCAATGACAGTAAAGACTATCCGGTTTCCCGAATCAAGGCTGCTTGATTCTCGGTTTCCTCTAGAGGGAGCATCTGATGCAGATATAGGAGTAAATGCTCTTCTCTCCTACAAGCTCAGCTCCAGTGAGTTTTTCTTCCTAGATATACAGGCAAATGATGAACTAAGCGAATCTTTGTCTCTCGTGCTGGGGAAATCGCTGGACAGAGAGGAAACTGCTGAGGTTAATTTGTTACTGGTGGCTACTGATGGGGGCAAACCTGAGCTCACGGGCACCGTTCAAATACTTATTAAGGTATTAGATGTAAATGACAATGAACCAACTTTTGCCCAATCAGTTTACAAAGTAAAATTGTTAGAGAATACGGCAAATGGGACCTTAGTGGTTAAGTTAAACGCTTCTGATGCAGATGAAGGACCGAACAGCGAGATTGTGTATTCACTCGGTAGTGATGTGTCCTCCACTATACAGACTAAGTTTACCATAGATCCCATCTCAGGGGAAATCAGAACTAAGGGAAAATTAGATTATGAAGAAGCAAAGTCCTACGAGATTCAGGTCACTGCAACTGACAAAGGAACCCCTTCAATGTCAGGACATTGTAAAATTTCATTAAAACTTGTGGACATCAATGATAACACACCAGAAGTCTCAATAACGTCTCTCTCACTTCCCATCTCAGAGAACGCTTCCCTGGGCACTGTCATTGCTCTCATCACGGTGTCGGATCGCGACTCTGGTACGAATGGACATGTCACCTGCTCCCTGACGCCCCACGTCCCTTTCAAGCTGGTGTCCACCTTCAAGAATTACTACTCGTTGGTGCTGGACAGCGCCCTGGACCGCGAGAGCGTGTCAGCCTATGAGCTGGTGGTGACCGCACGGGACGGGGGCTCGCCTTCACTGTGGGCCACCACCAGCGTGTCCATCGAGGTGGCCGACGTGAACGACAACGCGCCGGCGTTCGCACAGCCTGAGTACACAGTATTCGTGAAGGAGAACAACCCGCCGGGCTGCCACATCTTCACGGTGTCAGCGTGGGATGCGGACGCGCAGGAGAACGCGCTGGTGTCCTACTCGCTGGTGGAGCGGCGGGTGGGCGAGCGCGCGTTGTCGAGCTACGTTTCGGTGCACGCGGAGAGCGGCAAGGTGTACGCGCTGCAGCCGCTGGACCACGAGGAAGTGGAGCTGCTGCAGTTCCAGGTGAGCGCGCGGGATGCGGGCGTGCCGCCTCTGGGCAGCAACGTGACGCTGCAGGTGTTCGTGCTGGACGAGAACGACAACGCGCCGGCACTGTTGGCGCCTAGGGCTGGCACCGCTGCTGGCGCAGTGAGTGAGCTGGTGCCGTGGTCGGTGGGTGCAGGGCACGTGGTGGCGAAGGTGCGCGCAGTGGACGCTGACTCAGGCTACAACGCGTGGCTTTCGTACGAGCTTCAGCTGGGTACTGGCAGCGCTCGCATCCCGTTCCGCGTGGGGCTATACACGGGTGAGATCAGCACGACACGTGCCCTAGACGAGGCTGACTCCCCTCGACACCGCCTACTCGTGCTGGTGAAGGACCACGGCGAACCAGCGTTGACAGCCACGGCCACCGTGTTAGTGTCGTTGGTGGAAAGTGGCCAGGCACCCAAGGCCTCGTCGCGGGCGTGGGTGGGCGCCGCGGGCTCAGAGGCTACGCTGGTGGATGTCAACGTGTACCTGATCATCGCCATCTGCGCGGTATCCAGCCTGTTGGTGCTCACGGTGCTGCTGTACACTGCGCTGCGGTGCTCGGTGCCACCCACCGAGGGTGCGCGCGCGCCAGGAAAGCCCACGCTGGTGTGCTCCAGCGCCGTGGGGAGCTGGTCTTACTCGCAGCAGAGGCGGCAGAGGGTGTGCTCTGGGGAGGACCCCCCCAAGACGGACCTCATGGCCTTCAGCCCTAGCTTATCTCAAGGTCCAGACTCCGCAGAAGAGAAACAGCTCTCAGAATCAGAATACGTAGGAAAGGTGAGTCTTTTACTTTTTCTTGCCAATTCTAAAATTGTTCTTTTTAAAAAATTCTATATGATTTCTACTAGTTATTTAGATTCATAGTTCTTCATTTATTTTATATCATCCTACCGTGCGATTTTGAATATGAATTAGAGATCAATTTATTGCATTTACTGAACAATTTATTTAAACAATCTACATAACTGTTTTCTTATTTTTACATTTTGGCACTTCCATCATTAAGTCATAAGTAATAGACCATGAAACACTGAAAAACACCTCAGCAAAATTTGTAAATTAAACATTTCCCATAAATATTTTCTCTCTTAAAAATTGAAAATCACAATCGGAAGAAATTAAAGAATTTGATTATATAATACGTATTTTCAACTGACACTGTCTATCCAATCTGTCGGATAGTGTTTGGAATAACCTATATCCTGGACATTTCTTAGATTGTTCTTTGGATCAACAATGCCCTTGTCTATGCAATAGTTAATAAGCTACATTTTTTTTTTGTTTGTTTGTTTTTGTTGAGACAGTCTTGCTCTGTCACCTAGGCTGGAGTGCAGTGGTGTGATCTCAGCTCACTATAACCTCTGCCACCCGGGTTCAAGTGATTGTCTTGCCTCAGCCTCCTTAGTAACTGGGATTACAGGCGCCCACCACCACGCCCGGCTATTTTCTTTTTTAAATTTTTTATTTTTAGTAGAGACGGGGTTGGTCTCAACTAAATGTTGGCCAGGCTGGTCTCAAACTCCTGGCCTCAAGTGATCCACCCTCCTAGGCCTCCCAAAGTGCTGGGATTACAGGAGTGAGCCACTGCACCTGGTCTTTTTATTTGTATTTGAAAGCAGCCTGAGTGGATATTTTAACACCAGAATTTCCAAAAGTATGTAGCACAGGTTGTTACAACAAAATGACAGCACTTAGGAATAACTGCTAATCTTAAGTATGTTTTTTATAAGTAAAATAACCCATTATTTGGTATAAAGATTTCACACTGATAACATTTTTGAGTTATCAGGCAAAAATAGAGAGTATTGAGAAAAGAGACCCTCTCAATTTTGTTTAATTTGAAAATATTAACATTTAAAAATCACACTGGGGTTTTTCAGGTGGTGGGACTTTTTCTTCATTTAAGTGGAGACTACCCAGTCTTTATGTTAATGGTTGATAAATCATCCTTTCAGTATCATTATCATTAGGCCAATGTGTGCAGGCCTCCCACTGCAGAGATTGACTACTTTTTTCTGGCATCTAATTCTATGCGTGGGAATACATTTTCCATTAATGTGAGCTCACTCAATTTTACCTGGAAGCATCCATATTCCTAATGAAATTGGAATTTTTCCAAAAGATGAGGCCTGGTCTTGGATGACTACATTTTCACTTGAAACATTTATTTTGGGTAATTATAACACTGAACTCGACAAGTAAATGTTACACTTGGAAAGAACTTTTTTAGCTTTTCCAACCAAAGGCAGATGTATTGCAATAAAATAACTGTCTTAAACGGTCCTCTACTATTTAGTTCTTAGTTATTTGCTGTTTATTCTAAATATATGTGCATATTGATAAATCATAGAAATAACTTCCACTAGTGATCTTACCTTTAGCCATTTCATAGTTAGGTCAGAATATCCATTTCCAAGTAATACTTGACCACTATGTTTCTACCATAGGTAAATGATAAGCTTCTAAAATTATATTCACATATATCCAAATCTCCAGGAGTCACAATCTGTTGCTCTATAAGTTTTTTCAAAACATTCTTATTTACATTTTTTCTTGGTTGTCTAAGTGACATCTAGGTGGTAGTAGAAATTATTCACTGATACTTTATCTACAAAATGGCTCAATCTTCTAAACTCATAGTTCCTTTAATATTACCTTTATCTCTTAATAATCAGTATGGAGTCTACTCTGCTATAAATTCTCATGTGACATTCCATTTTGCAATTAGTATAACTCTTAAAGGTACTGAAAAGTGCAGTATTACAATAAGTTGTCAAAGGCATCTCATTACTATGAAGTCCATGAAGTTTAAAAATTTTAAATTTATCTCTTATTTTCAAACTAGCTACCATCTTTAAAAATTCAGCAAAGTGGTAACTGGAATATTAATAGCTATAATTATTTCTTAGGTCCATGCTTTTCAGAAATAATGCTTAAATGTTTACTTACTTCTTCATAATATAGCACAATATAATCATTTAGAAATTATGTAAGTTTGATATTAACAAATATCATTAACTTACATTTTTATTTATCTTGCTTGAAAAAGTTAATTCAAAATATTAATTTATTTATTCATGAAAACAACAATTGATAATTTATCCTATTCTAAATATGAATGATAAAATCTGAGTAAGTTGCAGTCCTGGCTTCCATTTCATGAATACACAGGAAACAAAAGCTGAAATGAAAACTTTTCCCCTAAATATTTAAATCACATGTTTGATTTCATTTTTAAATGGTCTGGGTATAAGCAAAAATTTGTACATTATTTTATTTCTCTAAATTTGACCTCTTTCCATAAATTTTCTTTGCCCCACTTCCAAATGCGGCGAGAATTCATGCTTCTCATTGAATTCACAGATATCTTTAGAATGTTTTATTGCTTAGTGTTAAATATGTTGAGTAAATACTGGCTTATGTTCCTAGGTTACTTTTCTCCCTTCACTGTTTAGTTAAATAATCAATTCTTTCAAGTAACAACTTTTAAAAAAACTGGAATCTAGAAATTCATCAGGAGTGGAGATCATCAAAAACGTAATTACTTTATATTGTTAACATTTTAGTATATACAGGTAAATTCAAATACATAAAGAGTGTGGAAAAATTAAACCTAATATATTCTTAATTGATGTGATGTGAGTGTAACAAATATACAAATCACATTCCCACAATAGGAAACAAATTTCCTGTTTGAATTTCTCTGTAAAGGACCGACTTCTGAAATCTTTATGTAAGTTACAGTCAAGACAGTTGATGAGGCTATAGTTCTTGAAAAAGGGGCATGGGAGGGAATTACAGACATTCTACAAATTTAAAAAACCATAAATGTACATATTTTAAGAAATTAACAGTTGCTGTAATAACATAAAAGTAGATATATGTATGTTTTAATATATACAGCACACACACACTTTTAAATACTTCAACATCTCAATGTTTTGATGATCATAAATCTGAAAGGATCTGATTTTTCTATAAAATGTAACTTGGGTGGTAAAGAGGTTAATGGTAAGTTGTCTTGAATCAGATTGAAATCCCATCGTACCAAGAGATAATATCGTTTTACTTAACCTCTATGTGTTTATAAAAAGCGAATAATATTAAAACTTATTTCAGAGGATTGTGATAATTTAACGGGATAATTCCATTAAGACAAATAGAAAAGTGGCTGTCACATGGGAAATATTTCCAATAGATGTCCACTGTTAAAACAGGAATCACAATATTTTAGTGTATGTCATGAATTAGCACAATTGATAGTGAATTAGTATAAAAGTTCTAAGGAAATATTTAGATAAAATATAAGGACTTTGAGGAGTGACCGAAGGATATTACAATTGAAACTAGAAATTTTGGGAAAGTTCAAACGACATACAAGGAAAAGAAGATACGTTTACATATTTAATACTTACACGTTTAGCCACATGATGTCGCTGTCCACCACAAGGTCTTTCTCCACAAAAGAAATAACAGCGTGCATTACGTATTCAGATACTGCTTTGCTTCATCCTCTCTAAAA
The DNA here is from genome assembly GCF_000001405.40 of Homo sapiens. Lineage (NCBI taxonomy): Eukaryota > Metazoa > Chordata > Mammalia > Primates > Hominidae > Homo > Homo sapiens. The sequence goes on from NW_025791778.1 coordinate 36,274, forward strand.
TTTAACACCGAGGAGTTTAAGAAATGAAGATAAGGAACTCGAATTATTTTTAAACTTTGGATCAATGTAAAGGCAATCTAATATTTGGAAAATACTTGCAATGTTGTTCTCCTGGCGAGAAGATCCTGGAGCCCAGTGCCTGCTGCTTTCTCTTCTGCTCCTCGCAGCCTCGGAGGTGGGGAGCGGCCAGCTCCACTACTCCGTCTCTGAGGAGGCCAAGCATGGCACCTTCGTGGGCCGCATCGCGCAGGACCTGGGGCTGGAGCTGGCGGAGCTGGTGCCGCGCCTGTTCCGGGTGGCGTCCAAAAGACACGGGGACCTTCTGGAGGTAAATCTGCAGAATGGCATTTTGTTTGTGAATTCTCGGATAGACCGCGAGGAACTGTGCGGGCGGAGCGCGGAGTGCAGCATCCACCTGGAGGTGATCGTGGACAGGCCGCTGCAGGTTTTCCATGTGGAGGTGGAAGTGAAGGACATTAATGACAACGCGCCAGTTTTTCCAATGGCTGTAAAGAATCTGTTTATTTCCGAATCCCGACAGCCTGGCTCTCGGTTTTCGCTAGAGGGCGCATCAGATGCAGATATCGGAACAAATTCGTTGTTGACTTACAGTCTTGATTCCACTGAATATTTTACCTTGGACGTTAAAAGAAATGATGAGGAAATTAAATCCCTTGGACTCGTGTTGAAAAAAAATTTAAATCGAGAGGACACTCCTAAGCATTATTTACTAATAACAGCAATTGATGGTGGGAAACCAGAGCTCACTGGCACGACTCAACTAAAGATCACTGTTTTAGATGTAAACGACAACGCCCCAGCGTTTGAGAGGACGATCTATAAAGTCAGATTACTCGAAAATGCACCAAATGGTACCCTAGTGGTGACCGTTAACGCCACCGATTTGGATGAAGGAGTAAATAAGGATATCGCGTATTCTTTCAATACGGACATGTCAGCAGATATTCTGTCAAAATTCCATTTAGATCCAGTCAATGGACAAATCAGTGTAAAGGGTAACATAGATTTCGAGGAAAGTAAGTCATATGAAATCCAGGTAGAAGCCACGGATAAAGGAAATCCCCCAATGTCAGATCACTGCACAGTTCTACTCGAAATTGTGGACATCAATGATAATGTACCTGAGTTAGTTATTCAATCACTATCTTTACCTGTATTAGAAGACTCTCCACTTAGCACAGTCATCGCTCTGATCAGCGTGTCCGACCGCGACTCAGGAGTCAATGGACAGGTCACCTGCTCGCTGACGCCCCACGTCCCCTTCAAGCTGGTGTCCACCTTCAAGAATTACTACTCATTGGTGCTGGACAGCCCTCTGGACCGCGAGAGCGTGTCGGCCTATGAGCTGGTGGTGACTGCTCGGGACGGGGGCTCGCCTTCACTGTGGGCCACGGCCAGCGTGTCCGTGGAGGTGGCCGACGTGAACGACAATGCGCCGGCATTCTCGCAGTCCGAGTACACGGTGTTCGTGAAGGAGAACAACCCGCCGGGCTGCCACATCTTCACGGTGTCTGCGCGGGACGCGGACGCGCAGGAGAACGCCCTGGTGTCCTACTCGCTGGTGGAACGGCGGGTGGGGGAGCGCGCGCTGTCGAGCTACGTGTCGGTACACGCGGAGAGCGGCAAGGTGTACGCGCTGCAGCCGCTGGACCACGAGGAGCTAGAGCTGCTGCAGTTCCAGGTGAGTGCGCGCGATGCGGGCGTGCCGCCTCTGGGCAGCAACGTGACGCTGCAGGTGTTCGTGCTGGACGAGAACGACAACGCGCCGGCACTGCTGATGCCTCGGGTGGGTGGCATCGGTGGCGCAGTGAGCGAGCTGGTGCCGCGGTCAGTGGGTGCGGGCCACGTGGTAGCGAAGGTGCGCGCAGTGGATGCAGACTCAGGCTACAACGCGTGGCTTTCGTATGAGCTGCAGCCTGGGACCGGCGGTGCGCGCATCCCGTTTCGCGTGGGGCTGTACACGGGAGAGATCAGCACGACCCGTGCCCTGGACGAGGTGGACGCCCCGCGCCATCGCCTACTGGTGCTGGTGAAGGACCACGGTGAACCCTCATTGACCGCCACGGCCACTGTGCTGGTGTCGCTGGTGGAGAGTGGCCAGGCACCCAAGGCCTCGTCCCAGGCGTCCGCTGGCGCCACGGGCCCGGAAGCTGCACTGGTGGATGTCAACGTGTACTTGATCGTCGCCATCTGCGCGGTGTCCAGTCTGTTGGTGCTCACACTGCTGCTATATACTGCTCTGCGGTGCTCCGCGCCGCCAACCGAAGGCGACTGTGGGCCGGGCAAGCCCACGCTGGTGTGCTCCAGCGCGGTGGGGAGCTGGTCATACTCGCAGCAGAGGCAGCAGAGGGTGTGCTCTGGAGAGGGGTTGCCCAAGACCGACCTCATGGCTTTTAGCCCTAGCCTTCCTCCTTGTCCAATTAGCCGGGATAGAGAGGAGAAACAGGATGTGGACGTTGATCTCTCAGCCAAAGTGAGTAATTTTTATTTATTCTTTCCAAAATGTCTTTGTTTTTCATTCCTCAATGTTTCCACTCCTCTGGAAATACATTAATAGTTAAGTATGAATTATGTGATTCATAATTAGACTTTTCCAGTTTTGTGGTTTTGTGGTTAAAACGGTAAGATTTTTGTTGCTAATTTTTGAACCAAATCAGCAGTAAGTTATGATATCCACACTTGTAATTTTGTTTTGTTATTAGGTGCAGTAGTAGAATTATTTTATTGCTAAATGCCTGGGTATAAGACAAATATTTTTTCTTAGATGAATTGCATTATTTAGAGAATCTGACTTCGACTTGTTTTATACTTATCCCTATACAATGCTTCTTCAATATCTTTTGCCACTTTTCATTTGGACTTCCTACTACCTGTTAGTACAAATGTTACTTGCTCATTTTATGAGTTCACCTAATGCTTATAACTCCCTATTGATTATGCTTTTCCACCTTCAGTTTCAAAAATTAGATCATTACACCTGTTGTCTTTTATGGAACCTCTTTTATTCTCTTATTCACTTGTTTGGAGTCTCAATCCTTATTTTTTACTTGAATATGATTCATTTTAGGCCTTGTGCTCTAATTTGGCAATACCGTTTATTGTTTCTTGATTTCCCAGTTGGGAAAAAAATCGAGAATAACAATTGCATTTAGAATTGCATCTTTGTTCATCTTTAGTTTATCACTACTTTATTTAATACTACTTTAATAATACTACTGTATTATATGTTAAAATTTATTACTAATAACTAAAATATCAATATGAAGTGAAAATTTAATAGTTGTATAGTATATTTATATATTCATTTTAAAAGAATGTTTTAAATCTTGTTAAAAATAATTTTCAATCTGAACAATATCTTGAAAATAATTATGGTATCTAATTTTAAAACTATCCCTACTAGCAAAACTTTTTATTCATTAGTGTCTTTTGCATACCATACTAAGGATGCTAATATGAAATAAGTTTGATAAGCCAATGTTATAATGTTATTACTGGTTAACTTCTCTGAATAGCATCCTGCCTATTAATGTGTGCCATGCAATAAGTAGAAAACTCCAAATAACCAGAACCAAATGAAATTGAAGGTAGACTTTTTTCTAATCACTACCCCTACATATTTGGTTATCTCCTCTAGCAATTAGTTGGACTCCCATTTAAGTTTCCCTACCACTGGAGAGAAATAGTAACCAACTGAAACCTGGTTAATACTCATTGACAGTGTGGGAGGTCTAACACGTAAAATAGATATTTTTCTTGACTCCTCTCCTTCCCCTCACTTCCATTTTCTTTATTTCCTTTTTTGGCACTATCCTTTGTTGCTCCCTTGTCCATGAAGTAGTAGCCATAGTGTGTCCATCTCAGGTCAGTATTTTAAAAATTTAGTTCTGTTATCAGCTTCTTGAATATAATAGAGTCAGCCAAAGTACTTGTCTTCCCAGATATGGAACTTCAATCTTCAAATCCAGCTTGCCTCTTGAAACTATTGTCTAACAAGACTCTTGGCAAAGACATTTTGAAGACTTTGGAATTTTCACTTCACAGATGTACTGATGCTATGCCAAATAAATATTGAATAGCTACCAAATAAACATTGTTTTCTATTCTGCTGCATTCCCCATCTGTACATTAAAATACCTGGTAAATGAAAATATTACAAATGAAATGGGTGAAAATGGAATTCTTCCTCCTTTTTTCCAATGTGCTTGATGTCAATGATCATTTTGTAAAAATATAGTTTGGGTCCCCACATAGTGAAAGTACTCTGGTTTCTGTTTGATTCAGAAATTTGGTGGGTTTTTTGTTGTTGTTTTGGTTTTTGTGTGTGTGTGTTTGTGTGAGTGTAGTTCTTCAATAGAGAGGGAGCGTAAAGCTATTTTCACTAGATTGATTTTTTGTTTAGACAAACAGGATGAAAATAACTTTATGGATATAGGAGGCAAGGAAAGTTTTTAAATGGCTACCATTATGTCTTTATATATTAAATTTCTTTATGTAAGAAAATGTATTGTGGTTTATTTATTGGGAAGTCTTCATTCCCCATTAATACCCAGGATGATTCAAAGATCATGATTACCAAGAATTAGAATAAAAATTAAGCTAAAACCCAAGTTTTCAACATTGAACTTGAAATACATCTTAATTGGGGAAATGTCTAGAGACTTTTTTTGTATCTTTAGAAAATCATAGAGGCTATTGAAACACCACATTTTCCCAACTAGATATGCGATCACCTTAAATTAATGCATTTTATTAGGCAATGGAAGGAAGCAAACATTTTCTGCAGGGTAAATATTTAGGAAATATTAGGTAAGTCCCTCTGAGCTATTAAACAATTAAGATACAACTATTCCCTTTAAAATATATATTCCAAAAAAGGACACACATACTCAAATGCTTATAAGAGATAAATTAATGTAATAAATGGCCCACGCGATTCCACCCTGGTGCTGCAGTTTGTAAAAGAAGAAAAAATACCTGTTCAATTGGTTTGATCATGACATTCTTCATGGGTCAGGGAAGTTTTAAGTGGTTATAAAATGGGGTAAATTGGCTTTAGAAGAGTTTAGAAATGATGTGGATTACTTATAGACAGGACAAAATGAACATGCTTGTTTATTAAAAAAAGCTATTGGAAGCAGGAAATATTCAGTTTGGCTAAAATATATAAGCACTATAGGAGAAAATAGAAGCTTAGGCACATTACATACTGGAGAACAAGCAAGTACTTATAAACTGTAAGAGTCAAAATGAGAATACCAGCGTTTCTCATGGGAGCAAATGAGTTCCAATGAATAAAATTATTTGGAATGCTTTTCCATGCAAGCTATTTGCTATAACTTCCTGCTTCCTTGCACTTTCAGCCCTGACATGACTCAAGGAAGACATCTAATTAAATGCTGATGGTCTTTGATCCTTTTATAAAACATCTGCAAATTTCCCTGTCAATAGCTTGTTCTTGGCACCAGAAGTTCCCTAGAGACCAGTCCCCTCAAGTCAACAACACCAGAAATACTAGGGTGAAGAGGGTGTTATCATTAATAAAAAAAAACCCTGGAATTCTTGGGAACACAGGAATCTGTAATGAATTTTTCTAATCAACAGTTTACAGTTACATGTTTACAAAGTGTATAGTTAGGTCTCTGTAATACTTAAAACCTGTGTTGAAAAAATTATTTCTACTGAAGTAAAAGTTGCCCCTATGGCGAAACTAAGGACCACACTCAATCAATCAGTGGTACAATGTGTACCACAGTAGTACAAAATGTATTCCTATTCTCCGAAACGACTGAAATAATAAATAAAACCAAGTAGTTTACAGTAGAGTGTGTGGGGGTTTCCACAATTGCTACTTACGGTTTGGAGCCACATGATGTCGCTCTTTACCACAAAATACATGAGAGAAGGAGGAAGAAGGGAAAATTCCTTCTATTCTTACTGGAAGGAACCATATACACTCTTTGGAGTCTGAAATATGGAGGATGCAGCTGCACTTGACTGACCGATTAAAAGATTTCCCTTGACTTTGAGAAACGATATTTAATCAGAACAAAATACTGTGCACTAAAGATGGAGTTTTCCTGGGGAAGCGGCCAGGAATCCCGGCGTCTGCTGCTCTTACTTCTTCTCCTCGCAGCCTGGGAGGCAGGGAACGGTCAGCTCCACTACTCGGTCTCCGAGGAGGCCAAACACGGCACCTTCGTGGGCCGCATCGCGCAGGACCTGGGACTGGAGCTGGCGGAGCTGGTGCCGCGCCTGTTCCGGGTGGCGTCCAAGGGCCGCGGAGGCCTTCTGGAGGTAAATCTGCAGAATGGCATTTTGTTTGTGAATTCTCGGATCGACCGGGAGGAGCTGTGCCGGCGGAGCGCGGAGTGCAGCATCCACCTGGAGGTGATCGTAGACAGGCCGCTGCAGGTTTTCCATGTGGACGTGGAGGTGAGGGACATTAACGATAACCCGCCGGTGTTCCCAGCAACACAAAAGAACCTGTCCATCGCGGAATCCAGGCCGCTTGACTCTCGGTTTCCACTAGAGGGCGCCTCGGATGCAGATATCGGGGAGAACGCCCTGCTCACTTACAGACTGAGCCCAAATGAATACTTTTCTCTGGAAAAACCACCTGATGACGAGCTGGTAAAAGGTCTTGGGCTTATATTACGGAAATCTTTAGACAGAGAAGAAGCTCCGGAGATTTTTTTAGTGCTCACAGCCACTGATGGAGGCAAACCCGAGTTGACTGGCACCGTTCAGTTACTCATCACAGTACTGGATGCCAATGACAATGCCCCAGCTTTTGACAGAACCATTTATAAGGTGAGATTACTAGAAAATGTTCCTAATGGAACATTGGTAATTAAACTTAACGCCTCAGATTTAGACGAAGGATTGAATGGGGACATTGTTTATTCATTCTCAAATGATATTTCGCCAAATGTGAAATCCAAGTTTCACATAGATCCAATTACTGGACAAATTATTGTAAAGGGATATATTGACTTTGAAGAAAGCAAATCCTATGAAATTATTGTAGAGGGCATTGATAAGGGACAGCTCCCACTTTCTGGCCATTGTAGAGTTATTGTGGAAGTAGAAGACAACAACGATAATGTCCCAGATTTGGAATTCAAGTCTTTATCACTTCCAATTAGAGAGGACGCTCCACTGGGTACAGTCATCGCCCTGATCAGCGTGTCCGACAAAGACATGGGTGTCAATGGGCTGGTCACCTGCTCCTTGACGTCCCACGTCCCCTTCAAGCTGGTGTCCACCTTCAAGAATTACTACTCGTTGGTGCTGGACAGTGCCCTGGACCGCGAGAGCGTGTCAGCCTATGAGCTGGTGGTGACCGCGCGAGACGGGGGCTCGCCTTCGCTGTGGGCCACGGCCAGTGTTTCTGTGGAGGTGGCTGATGTGAACGACAACGCTCCGGCGTTCGCGCAGCCCGAGTACACAGTGTTCGTGAAGGAGAACAACCCGCCGGGCTGCCACATCTTCACTGTGTCTGCGTGGGACGCGGACGCGCAGGAGAACGCGCTGGTGTCCTACTCGCTGGTAGAGCGGCGGGTAGGGGAGCGCGCGCTGTCGAGCTACGTTTCGGTGCATGCGGAGAGCGGCAAGGTGTACGCGCTGCAGCCGCTGGACCACGAGGAGCTAGAGCTGCTGCAGTTTCAGGTGACCGCTCGCGATGCCGGCGTGCCACCTCTGGGCAGCAACGTGACGCTGCAGGTGTTCGTGCTGGACGAAAACGACAACGCGCCAGCACTGCTAGCGCCTCGGGCGGGTGGCACTGGTGGCGCAGTGAGCGAGCTGGTGCCATGGTCGGTGGGTGTGGGCCACGTGGTGGCAAAGGTGCGCGCGGTGGATGCTGACTCGGGCTACAACGCGTGGCTTTCGTACGAGCTGCAGCCGGGGACTGGTGGCGCGCGCATCCCGTTCCGCGTGGGGCTGTACACTGGCGAGATCAGCACAACGCGTGCCCTGGACGAAACGGACGCTCCGCGCCACCGCCTACTGGTACTGGTGAAGGACCACGGCGAGCCCGCGCTGACGGCCACGGCCACTGTGCTGGTGTCACTTGTGGAGAGTGGACAGGCGCCAAAGGCCTCCTCACGGGCGTTGGTGGGCGCTGTGGGTCCCGATGCTGCGCTGGTGGATGTCAACGTATACCTGATCATTGCCATCTGCGCGGTGTCCAGCCTTTTGGTGCTCACGCTGCTGCTGTACACCGCGCTGCGGTGCTCTGCGCTGCCCACCGAGGGCGCGTGCGCTCCGGGCAAGCCCACGCTGGTGTGCTCCAGTGCGGTGGGGAGCTGGTCATACTCGCAGCAGAGGAGGCCGAGGGTGTGCTCTGGTGAGGGCCCACCCAAGACCGACCTCATGGCCTTCAGCCCCAGTTTACCTGACTCTAGGGACAGAGAAGATCAGCTGCAGACAACTGAGGAATCCTTTGCAAAGGTTAGTGTATAACATCCTTTTGTTTAATTTTCGTATTGTTTTTCTCTATCAACTTCTTCGTAAATTTATTTCTAAGAGTCAAATTTCCCTGGGTTAAAATTTTACCTCTTTTTACATATCCATTTTAACTAAAGTCTTTTGGAATTATAGGACATCAGAGCAATATATATTGCCTTCCTTCATTTTATGCTGCATTATTCAATGCATATTAACAGAACTGTAATTTCTAGTAAATTTTCACTATATTCACCCTCTTTGTTTTTGGTAATAATCAACATTTTAGAAAACATTTTACTATTATTTAACCTATTACATATAAACAAATGTGCACAGGCTGAAATAATAAAGCTCCATAAATTGTATGAAAGTGAAAAGCTCCGTTGCCTCCATCGCTGAAGCCCCTCGCATGCACCTGCCAAATCACTTCCCTTATTTTTCCTCCAGTGTAACCGCACATTTGCCTTTTATAACTGTTTGTTCGGGGCCTGTTTTGGGAACGTTATCTAATTGGACTTGCACAACATGTATTGTCTGTGCATTTGTGTGTTATTTGTATTTATCACTCATTGTTTATGAAATTATCCATGTTGTTATATGTAGTTGTAGTTTATTTATTTCTGTTTCTAGTACTATTTCATAAATATACTATACCTTATTTATTCTACTGTTCAGGAATTTGCATTGTGCCTCAATGTCTATTTCAAATAATGCCATCATAAATATATTGTACATTTCTTTGATGCCCATGTACACAGATTTCTCTCAGGTTTTTGCCTAAGAGTTGTGTTTGTGGGTCACAGAATATGTGTGTATCTTTGTCTTTTGTAGCTAACACCAACCAATTTTCCAAGATGTTTTTACCTGTTTACATTCCTAGTAGTGCATAAGGCTTTCTGCTGGGCCACATCATCTCTACATTTGTCAGGTTATTTTCATGTTAGCCATTTTACTGGGTGACTTTTGTAATCTCATTTTGAAATTATTTTATATTTAAATGAAGTTGAGTACCTTTCTATTTTATTTTGGCAATTTTTATACCTTATTTTGTGCAATAGCTGCTCAAATCTCCTATTTCTCTAGTCTGTTGTTTTTCTTTTCTTTTTTCTCTTCTTTTTGCTTCCATAGAACTTTATTTATTTCCTTATCTTGTTTTTCTTATTACTTAAACAAATCTTGTATTCTGAACATAACTCCTTTTTTTAGTAGTTTTCAACCTCATGGCTAGTTTTTAATTCTTTTTTGTCTTTTGGTGAATAGAAAGTCATAATTTTGATTAAACTCAATTTATCAATTTTTGCTTCTGATCCTATTTCACAAAGATAATTTTCTGTGGTATCTTTTATTTCATTGTTTACATTACATCTACAATCCATTTGGAATATACATATTTTTATCATTGTTGTGAGGTAGGGGTCAAGATTTATTTTTATTTCTTCTTATTATTTTTATTATACTTTAAGTTCTAGGATACATGTGCACAACGTGCAGGTTTGTTACATAGGTATACATGTGTGCCATGTTCGTTTGCTGCACCCATCAACTCATCATTTACATTAGGTATTTCTCCTAATGCTATCCCTCCCCCAGTCCCCCACACCTCAACAGGCCCCAGTGTGTGATGTTCCCCACCCTGTGTCCAAGTGCTCTCGTTGTTCAATTCCCACCTATGAGTGAGAACATGCAGTGTTTGGTTTTCTGTGCTTGTGATAGTTTGCTCAGAATGACGGTTTCCAGCTTCATCCATGTCTCTACAAAGGACATGAACTCACCCTTTTTTACGGCTGCATAGTCTTCCATGGTGTATATGTGTCACATTTTCTTAATCCGGTCTATCATTGATGGACATTTGGGTTGGTTCCAAGTCTTTGCTATTGTGAATAGTGTCGCAATAAACATACATGTGCATGTGTCTTTATAGTAGCATGATTTATAATCCTTTAGATATATACCCAGTAATGGGTCAAATGGTATTTCTAGTTCCAGATCCTTGAGGAATCGCCACACTGTCTTCCACAATGGTTGAACTAGTTTACACTCCCACCAACGGTGTAAAAGCGTTACTATTTCTCCACATCCTCTCCAGCATGTGTTGTTTCCTGACTTTTTAATGATTGCCATTCTAACTGGTGTGAGATGGTATCTCATTGTGGTTTTGATTTGCATTTCTCTGATGACCAGTGATGATGGGCATTTTTTCATGTGTCTGTTGGCTGCATAAATGTCTTCTTTTGAGAAGTGTCTGTTCATATCCTTTGCCCACTTTTTGATAGGGTTTTTTGTTTTTTTCTTGTAAATGTGTTTAGGTTCTTTGTAGATTCTGGATATTAGCCCTTTGTCAGATGGGTAGATTGCAAAAATTTTCTCCCATTCTGTAGGTTGCCTGTTCACTCTGATTGTAGTTTCTTTTGAAGATTTATTTTTTACTACCATTTTTTTGTTGGACTTTTAAAATGAGTTTGGAAGTGTTCCCTCTCCTTCAATTTTTTTTTTTTGGAAGAGTTTGAAAACAATTATCATTGATTCTTCTTTAAAAGTTTGGTAGAATTCTCCAGGAAAGATATCTGGTTTTGGGCTTTTGTTGTTGTTGTTGTTAGGAGGTTTGGATTACTGATTCAATCTCCTTACTAGTTACAGCTTTGTTTAGATTTTTTATGATTATGTCTTGGTAGTTTGTATGTTTCTAGGAATTAATCAATTTCTTCTAGGTTATTGAATTTTTTGGTATATGATTTTAAAAGCCTCTTATAATTGTGGCATCAGGTGTAATGCCACCTCTTTTGTTTCTGACTTCCAGTCTTTTTGTTTTTTTCTTAGTCTAGCTAAGGGGCTTGTCAGTTTTGTTGTTTTTTCAAAAAATCAACTAAGTTTAAAAACTTAATTTAAACTTTTTTTCATTTATTTTTGCTCTAATCTTTATTATAGTATTTCCTCCCTTTGCTTTGGGCTTCCTCATTTGTCCTTTTTTTCTAGTTCCTTGAGTTGTTAAGTTTTTTATTTGAGATCTTTCTTCTTTCTTCATTTTTAGTGTAGGCATTTACAACTCCCTTCTTTGTTTTTGTTTTCATGTTTAAGAGACAAGATCTCACTATGATGTACAGAGGCACGATCATAGCTCCCTGCAAGTGATCCTTGTGCCTTGGATTCCCAAAGCACTGGGATTACAGGCGTGAGCCACTGAGCTTGCCCAGCTTAATATTCCTTCTTAGTACTGCTTTTGTTGTATCCTGTAAGTTTTTATTGTGTTGTGTTTTCATTTTTGTTTATCTTAACATATTTTCTAATTCATCTTTTGATTTCCCCTTTCATTCAAATGAAATTTTGAACAGAATTTCGTTCAAAATTCTGTTGTTTAATTTCTACATATTTGCAGATTTTCCAGTTTTAATTCCAGTATTGATTTCTAGTTTTATTCCACTGTGGTCAGAAAAGATATTTAGTAGGATTTCAACCTTCTTGAATTTGTTAAGACTTGTTTTGTGACCTGACGTGTGATTTATCCTGGAAAATGCTCTGAGTGTGCTTGAGAAGACTGTATATTTGCTGCTGTTGGGTGGAATTTTCTGTATATGTCTGTTAGTTCCATTTCAGCTATAGTGTTGTTCAAGTCCTCTGCTTCCTTGCTGATTTTCTGTCTGAATGTTCTATTCCTTATTGAAAGTAGGATACCAAAATCTCCTACTACAGTCATTGGAGATACATTCTGAGAATTGTATCATTCTGAGATTTCATCACTGTGCAAACATGAGAGTGTACTTACATATTTACACAAACCTAGATAGTATAGCCTACTACAGACCTAGGTTACATGATCTATTGCTTCTAGGCTACAAACCTGTACATATGTTAACTGTACTGAATACTATAGGGAATTGTAACACAATGGTAAGTATTTGTATACCTAAATATATCTAAACATCTAAAAGGTACAGTAAAAACATTGTACAGATTTTTAAAATGGTACACCTGAATAGGGTACTTACCCTATGAATGGAGACTGCGGGGCTGGAAATTTATCTGCATGAGTCAATGAGTGAATGGTGAGTGAATGTGAAGGCCCAGGACATTACTGTGCACTAATGTAGACTTTAAAGCACTATACATTTAGGCTACACTCAATTTATCAAAAAATTTTCTTTTTACAGGCTGGTCATGGTGGCTCATGCCTGTAATCCCAGCACTTTGGGAGGCTGAGGAAGGAGGATCACTTAAGCCCAGGAGTTCAAGACCAGCCTGGGCAATATAGTGAGACCCTGTCTCTAGAAAATAATTTTTAAAAATTAGCTAGGTGTGGTGACACACACTTGTAGTTCCAGCTACTCAGGAGGCTGAAGTGGGAGGATCCTTGACTTGAGGAGGTCAAGGCTACAGTGAGCTATGGTCGTGCCACTGCACTCCAGCCTGAGCAACAGAGTGAGACTCTGTCTCAATTTTTTTTCTTTCTTCAGTAATAAATTAACCTTAGCTTACTGTAACTTTTCAACTTTGTAAACTTAAATTTTTTAACCTTTTGACTCTTTTGTAATAACGCTTAGCTTAAAACACAAACACATTGTACAGCTGTACAAAAATATTTTCTCTTTATATCCTTATTTTACAAGTTTTTTTGACTTTTAATTTTTTTATTTTTTTCACTTTTACTTAGTGTTTTTTTTTGTTGTTGTTGTTAAAAATGAAGATATAAACACCCATACTAGCCTAGGACTGTATTGGGTCAGGATCATCAATATCATTGTCTTCCACCTCCATATCTTGTCCCACTGGAAGGTCTTCTGGGGCAGTTACACATGCGATGCTATCATCTCCTATGATAACAATATCTTCTAGTGGAATACTTCCCAAAAGACTTTCCTGAGGCTGTTTTGTGGTGACCTTTTTTCTTTTTTTTTTTTGAGTTAATGTATTTTTTATAAGTAGAAAGAGTACACTGTAAAATACCACTAAAAAGTATAGTAAATACATAAAGCAGTAACATTTACTATCTGTATCAAGTATTATGTACTGTAAATTACTGTACATAATTGTATGTGCTATCTTGTACTTTTATATAACTGGTAGTGCAATAGGTTTGTTTACACCAACATCACCACAAACATGTGAGTAATGTGCTACAACATTATGACTGCTACATCATCACTAGGTGATAGGAATTTTTCAGCTCCATTATAATCTTATGGGACTACTCTTGTACATGTGGTCTGTTATTGGTTGAAACGTTGTTATACAACACTTGACTTTATTGTATTGCTATCTATTTCTCCATTTCTGTGAATGTTTGCCTCATATATTTAGGTGTTTTAATGTTGGGTGCATATGTATTTATAATTGCTATGTCCTTCTGGTGAATTGACCTTTTATCATTATATAATGTCCTTCTTTGTCTCTTATGACACTTTTTGACTTAAAGACTATTTTGTGTGATGTAGCTGTTTCCACATTTGCACTCTTTTGGTTACAATTTGCATGAAATTTTTTTAATATCCTTTAACTTTCAGGCTATCCAGGTCTTTAAATCTAAAGCAAATCTCTTGTAGTTAGCATATAATTGGGTCTTTAAAAAAAATCAATTCAACCACTTTGTATCTTTTGATTGGGGGAGTTTATCCCATTTTTATTTAAAGTAATTATTGATAGGGCATAACTTACTGTTGCCTCTTTGTTAATTGTTGTTTGCAGCTTGTAGACTTTTTGCTCCTCTTTCCTCCTCTTACTGTCTTCCTTTGTGTTTTATTGAGAATTGTAATGCTATGTTTTTGTTCCTTTCCTGTTTTCTTTTGTATATCTTCCATAGGTATTTTCTTTGTGGTTACCATGGGGCTTACATTTTAAAACTCTTATAAAAATGTATTTTAAACTGATAGCATCTTTACTACAATCACAAAACAAAACTCATTATGTTTACTTCTCCCCTACCCAAATTTTATGTTATTGATGTCATAAATACATCTTTTTATATTGTGTATACATTATTTTATAGTTAGTTTTTCTGTACTTTTGTCTTTTAATCAGATTTTAAAATATCAGATTTTAAAGTGACTTTTGTACCACCATTACAGTATTATAGTATTCTGTTTTTATCTATATATTTATCTTTACTAGTGAGCTTTATACTTTAATAAAATACCTATGTATTTCTGTTTAGCATCCCCTAATTTTAACTCAAAAGGCCCCCTCTTAACATTTCTTGTAAGGCAAGTCTAATTGTGATCACCTTCAGCTTTTGTTTAACTGGGAAGGTCTTTATCTCTTTTTCATTTTTGAAGACAAACTTTGGTGGATTTGGTATTCTTGGCTGGCAGTTCTTTTTCTTTTCAGCACTTTCAGTATAACATCTCACCCCTTTCTGGATGGCAAGGTTTCTACTGAGAAATCTACTGGTAGAGTTAGGGGTGTTCTTTTGTACGTGATGAGGCATTTTTCTTTTGCTGCTTTCTAAATTCTTAACATTTCTTGGATCTTGATGTCCATTTCCTTCCTCATATTTGGGAAGTTTTCAGATGTAATTTTAAAAAATAAGCTGTCTGTCCTTTTCTCTTATGGCTTCTTCTTTTGAAACTGTCATAATGAGTAGAGCAGCCTGCTCGAGGATGTCCTATCAATTTCTTAGGCTTTCTTTACTCTCTTTCATTTCTTGCTCTTTTTGCTACTCTGTCTGGATAATTTCAAATGATGTGTCCTTGAGTTCACTGACTCATTCTTCTACTTGATTAAGTCTGCTGTTGAACATGTCTGTAAAATTTTCAGTTCAATTATTGTATTCTTCAGTTCCAAAATTTCTTTTTAGTTCTTTTGAATATTTTCTATCTGCTGAAATTCTGATTCTGCTTATGCATTATTTTCCTGAGCTCACTGAACATCTTTATGACAATTATTTTGAATACTTTGTCAAGTAATTCACATAGCTCTATTTCTTTAGGTTTGGTTTCTGGAGGTGTGTTTGTGTGTGTGTGTGTGTGTGTGTGTGGGCACGCACTATTTGATTGGGCCATGTTTCCTGTTTTCTCATATTCCTTATTACTTTGTGTTGATATCTATACATTTCAAAAAAACAAAAAACAACAACACACCAGCTACCTCTTCCAGTCTTTATGGACTGGATTTGTACATGGAAAGATCTTTACTAATCAGGCTGGCTAGAGATTCTAGGGACCTCTCAAACCTTTTCTGTGGATGCATCTTCTATGGACTTGTGTGTATAATTCCTAATTAGAGGGATCTGCCAGCTTTTTTTTTTAAGATGCTCTAATCTTTTTCCCTCTGTGGTGTCTGTGTGCTGTACTGTGGGCCCTCTGGAGCAGCAGTATTCACTCAGCTCTTTTAGGTTCTGAGAAGCCCTCAGTTATAGATTCTGCTGAATCCTATCAGTGCCTGGAGTCAAGTGAGACAGAAACTTGGACTGCCCACTAAAATTCAGGAACTTTGGATGCATTTTACTCTCTCTTTCCCTCATGAGAGAGAGAGTGCTGAGCTGAGTTTCTCTCTGTGTGCTGTATCACAGGTCCTGAGGAGCATCAGCCCGCCACCCAGCTCTTTATTATTCTGAGCTGCCCTCAGGATTTTAGAATATGCCAGGTTCCATCAGTGCTCTGAGATATGCAAGACAGCTCCCCTGAAAAGTCAGAACACTGAATGCATGCTTTACTTTCTCTTTCCCTTCTCAGGGAGAAGACAGGAGCTGGGAATTTCCCCCTGTTTGAATGGAACTGTGCTGCTGGATGGGACTATAGGGAAAGTGCCCCAGAAAAGTGCCCAGCTAGTTTTACACTTGCTTGG
The DNA here is from genome assembly GCF_000001405.40 of Homo sapiens. NCBI lineage: Eukaryota > Metazoa > Chordata > Mammalia > Primates > Hominidae > Homo > Homo sapiens. The sequence continues at coordinate 52,519 of NW_025791778.1, forward strand.
AGCCCAGGACCCTCTTAACTGGTTTCGGCACTTATCACCATGGGAATTGGTCCTTGTATTGTTGTTGAGTTGGTATACCTGTGGAGGGTCTGGGGATTCCTATAACAGCATCTTGCTGATGTCACTACCTCTGTTATCTTTTTAAGCTATATATGCTTTTACAAATTATTTTATTGATTTCCTCTTTTGTTGATTATAACACACATCCTTGACTTATTACCTCAATTAAATCAATAATTTTAATAATTCCAGGCAACGCTAAGACCTTGAATCATTATACCATTTACTTGTACCCTACTTTTTGTTACTGATATGCCTTTCAATTATTTATATGTTCTAGACACACAGTACATTATTATCATTGTTTTGTTAACACCTATATATGTTTCTTTCTGGGATCATTTTCCTTCTGAAGAAATTAACATTTCCTTTAGTGTGGCCTGCTGGTAAAGAAACCTTTACGTTTTTATATATCTGGAAATGTCTTAATTTTACTATCACTTTTGAGAAACAGTTTTGGGTATTGAATGAAAGTTATTTTTGCCAGCACTTTTAAGATGACATTCCATGGTCTTCTTTTGAGATGATGGCTGTCAAGTTTATTGTTCAATTAGTGTGTCTTTTTTTCTGTCTAGCTACTTTGTATACTTACTCTGTTTTTCACTTTTAACAGCTTTACTATCATGTGCCCAGTGTTAATTTGCTTTGTTTTTAATCTCGCTTGCAGTTTTCAAAGCTTCTTATATCTGTGGGTTGATAATATTTTATCAGTTTAAGAGAAGATTTAGCAGTATGCCTTCAAATACGGCTTCTACTTCATATTTTCTCTTATATTCTTCTGTGACTATAAGTACATGTATGTTAAATCTTTTCACCATATTCCTTGTCTTTTATGTGCCATTTCTGTTTTTAAATCACTTTTTCTCTTTGTTTCATAATCCATGTTTTATTCTGACCCATCTTTTACTTTAGGAATTTTATCTTGTTATTCTAGGCCACTGTCAAAGTCATTGATTGAATTCTTAACTTGAATCGTGGCATTTTTCCATTTTAGAATTTTATTTTCCTTTTTAAAAATATATTTCTAACTTGGGTACTGGCTAATGTCAAAAGAAACTTTCCTCCCACAAAGTTTTCACTCACTTGATCTTGGATTTTAAAATCAGATATAACCTGAGAGATTATCATTTTTCTCCATTTAATAATGAATCAGGCCAGGCATGGTGGCTCATGCCTATAATCCCAACACCTGTGTGGGCCATGACAGGAGGATTGCTTGAGCCCAGGAGTTCAAGATGAGCCTGAGCAATATAGGGAGACTCCATCTTTACAAAAAATGAAAAAAATTAGCTAGATGTGGTGGTGCACACCTGTGGTCCCAGCTACTTGGGAGGCTGAAGTTGGAGGATGGCTTGAGCCTGAGGCTGCAATGAACTTTGACTGTACCACTGCACTCCAGCCTCGGTCAGAGTGAGACTCTTTGTCACCCAGTTGTATAGAATCAACTATAGGTAGAGGCATAAAAAAGATGCCTGAGATTGCATCTCTTGAATTTAGCTTCATTGTCCCTTTCTATTAAGTGAGATTATTTGACATGAACATTGATATTCACTATCTCAGGGATATGTTAGAACTATTCTCATATTTTCTATCCACAGAGGATATATAATATGGATATTTTAGCACATTCCCTTATAGGGCAGTTATACCTTCCTCTGTGACTCATTATACAGGCAGCGCTAAGATGTGTATTATATGCTCATGGTATCCTTTCTTACTATCCTTATAATAGAATAAATTAATTTTTATACAGAATTAATTTTTGAAGAATCAAATGACATATGTGCATAAATTATTTATACATTTTTATACAATTGCTTCAACATTTCCTCTTCTCTGCAATCTGGTATATCTATATAATTTCTATAGATAAGAGAAGAAAAATATAGCTTATTAAAATTTTATTCTGGGTTTTGTAAGGAATAAAGGACATTTGTACCCTTATGAAGATTAAATTTTCTTGTGTTAGTATATTTCTAAAGGCTTTTAGTGAATTAAATGGAGACACTTTAATATACTACACAGTTTTAAATCTAAATTTTTTTCTCAAGGAAGAACTTCTGTTTACACAATGATGCTTAAACATGACTGAAATATCTAAAGGAGAGGTTAACTGGATCAGTCAAGAAAATAATCTGTAACATTTGATTGAAGAAAATAGCTTAGAAGAAGATTTTTTAAAATGTTCTTTTCCTGTGGAGTCTCCCATGAAATTCAGATTGGATAATCTATAGTTACTGAGAAAGGAATATTCAAAATAAGAGTTGATCACTGTAGCACAAATGCAAGTGATAATTTAAAAAGTAAATATAATTTAACAGATATGAAAGTGAATCAAAAGTCAAGAGTCTTGTTTCCTCCTGAAATATCTATATAAGTACATGAGATATTTTTTCCAGACTGAGAGGAGCATGTGAACTGATATTGTTGATGACTTTTTCTCCATTGAGTATATCTTTTAAAATACTCAGTATTTATCATAATACTCTGCAGATTACAATGTACACATTGTTAATACTACATTGTTAATTTGCCTTTTAAATACTTAATATTTACTTTTTTCAAAGGTTATCTTTGTGTATTTTGTATAAAATTCTACTATAATTTATTCCATAGCTTTGTAGTTTTACATTATTTACTGTTATATAATAGAAAGTGGCTAACATCAGCTAATGCTGTTTTCTAAATATTTATTATCATTTTCTTATGTTTTTAACCATTGTGTATTAAAATATTTCAAAATTATCAGTATGAAAACTATTAGGCAAATAGTCTGGGAAATTGATTTGTGTTTCAACGATCCAAATATTAGTGAAAAGTCATGATAATAGAGATAGTAAAAATCTTATAAGGGAACTGGTAAATATATCTTTAAAGATTGTATCAGAAACAATTCTATGACAATATCTTGTTTCTTTACAAGTTTGAATTCCAGAAATCAAGTGAATTTCCTCTGACTTTGCATTTTCTGGTAATTTCTTTTTTCTTATCAAGCTATATTTTAAATGTAAAAGTATCCAACAATAGAATTGCTAATCTCTTGGTCCCTCTTGTCTTCACAGGTAAGGGATATTTTGTAATATTTAAGGAATTTTATGGAGTATATATACAAGCAGAATGTTAGCTATTTCTTCAATAGAAAACTTGGTGATATTTTCTTTTGCCCATATTTATTAAGTGAAGTTTACTAAATTTTCTAGGTCGTGTTCAAATCATACCATCCAGTAAACAGTTGGGAGATTAAAAAGTAATTAAACTAATATAAAGATAGCCTGGTTAATAAAATGATATTCTTTTCAACATGATTATATTTACTGGAACCTAAACATTTTGTGAAATAGTATGTCATATAGACAATATTAGGATTTTGACTTGTTATGTAAGTACAAAGGTATGTATTTTACAATTTTTAATAATTGCTTTATCAGTAATAGCAACTTGAAGAAATGCTATCTAGATGCTTCTAATTTGAAAATAGTGCAAAGACGATTTACCAAAGTCGTTCTATTATGCTTTTGATTTCTAGAAAGCTGAAATATCCCCATTACAGTTTTTGAGTCAATACAAAAAGTAGATAGGTGTTATAGATAAAGAAATAGGTTTTCATCGATTTGAAAATTAGAACTCCGAGAAGAAACTCAGGTAAGAATGCCATTAAAATAGTTTTAGTTGTTTTTGAAAATAACATCAACAAAATGTCACTATTAAACAGTGAAATTGGAATAAAAATTTGTTTTATGAGTAACACGGAGATAGCATACAAACATTCCATTGACTAATACAGAAAAAACTCAAAAGTTTTAATTAGATATGTTTAAATAGAGATGAGAAAAGTCAAAACTTTAACTCTTAAAAGTTATTTTTATCAGTTTGGAAATATATAAACTCCTCCCTATATAAAATACACCAGCACAAATTTCTCTAGTAAGGATTGGGGTTTCATGACTTTAGATGTATTTTTCTGTAATATTTTAATGACGCACTTATATTGACGCATTTTAAGATAGAGTTTAATGATATATTTTGACTAGAGATAAGTGATTTAAAGAATAAGAATCATGTCATTGAAAGTGAGAATACTTGAGAAATATTGACGAATATAAGCTAAATAAAGCAAAACAAAATAAAACACTTACCCTTTCATCCACATGATGTCGCTGGACACCGGAAGGTTTTTCTCCCTTCCCAGCCTCAAAGGAATACAGTGAGTAGATTTTCCTTAGACAGAAAGGAAAAGAACCTTCCATTTTTGGCTGTGCCAAGAAGCTCAGAAAGGCGATAATATAAAAAATATATAGTTAATTGGGAATTGAATTTACAAAATACATTGTGTGGTGATGCAATAGAAAGCTCATAATTGGAACGAGATTGAGATGGTATATTCCCGGAGAGGAAGTCTGGGATCCCGGCTCCTGCTGCTCTGGCTTCTCCTTGCCTACTGGAAGGCAGGGAGCGGCCAGCTCCACTACTCGATCCCGGAGGAAGCCAAACACGGAACCTTCGTTGGCCGCATCGCGCAGGACCTAGGGCTGGAGCTGGCGGAGCTGGTGCCGCGCCTGTTCCGGGTGGCGTCCAAGGGCCGCGGGGACCTTCTGGAGGTAAATCTGCAGAATGGCATTTTGTTTGTGAATTCTCGGATCGACCGGGAGGAGCTGTGCCGGCGGAGGGCGGAGTGCAGCATCCACCTGGAGGTGATCGTGGACAGGCCGCTGCAGGTTTTCCATGTGGAGGTGGCAGTGAAGGACATCAATGACAATCCGCCCAGGTTCTCCAGACAAGAACAAAGATTATTCATTTTAGAGTCAAGAATGCCAGATTCGCGGTTTCCGCTAGAGGGCGCGTCGGATTTGGATATTGGAGCAAATGCACAATTGAGATACAGGTTAAATCCAAACGAATATTTTGACTTAGATGTTAAAACAAATGAAGAAGAAACGAACTTTTTAGAGCTGGTTTTGAGGAAATCCTTAGATAGAGAAGAAACACAAGAACACCGTTTATTAGTGATTGCAACTGATGGAGGAAAACCCGAACTAACAGGTACAGTTCAGTTGTTGATCAATGTATTGGATGCTAATGATAACGCCCCAGAATTTGATAAATCCATTTATAATGTCAGATTGTTGGAAAATGCACCAAGTGGGACATTAGTTATTAAACTGAACGCCTCAGATGCAGATGAGGGCATCAATAAGGAAATAGTGTATTTCTTTAGTAATCTTGTTCTTGACGATGTAAAGTCCAAATTTATAATTAATTCTAATACTGGTGAAATAAAAGTTAACGGGGAACTGGATTATGAAGACTATAACTCATATGAAATTAATATTGATGCCATGGATAAAAGTACATTCCCATTATCAGGACACTGTAAAGTAGTAGTGAAACTCCTGGATGTGAATGATAATACCCCAGAGATGGCCATAACCACCCTTTTCCTGCCTGTCAAAGAGGACGCTCCACTCAGCACGGTCATTGCTCTGATCAGCGTGTCTGACCGTGACTCAGGTGCCAACGGGCAGGTGACCTGCTCCCTAATGCCCCACGTTCCCTTCAAGCTGGTGTCCACCTTCAAGAATTACTACTCGTTGGTGCTGGACAGCGCCCTGGACCGCGAGAGCGTGTCGGTCTATGAGCTGGTGGTGACCGCGCGGGACGGGGGCTCGCCTTCGCTGTGGGCCACCGCCAGCGTGTCTGTGGAAGTGGCCGACGTGAACGACAACGCTCCGGCGTTCGCGCAGCCCCAGTATACCGTGTTCGTGAAGGAGAACAACCCGCCAGGCTGCCACATCTTCACGGTGTCTGCACGGGACGCGGACGCGCAGGAGAACGCCCTGGTGTCCTACTCGCTGGTGGAGCGGCGGGTGGGCGAGCGCCCGCTGTCGAGTTACGTTTCGGTGCACGCGGAGAGCGGCAAGGTGTACGCGCTGCAGCCGCTGGACCACGAGGAAGTGGAGCTGCTGCAGTTCCAGGTGAGCGCGCGCGACGCGGGCGTGCCGCCTCTGGGCAGCAACGTGACGCTGCAGGTGTTCGTGCTGGACGAGAACGACAACGCGCCGGCGCTGCTGGTGCCTCGAGTGGGTGGCACCGGCGGCGCAGTGAGCGAGCTGGTGCCGAGGTCAGTGGGTGCGGGCCACGTGGTGGCGAAGGTGCGCGCAGTGGACCCTGATTCGGGCTACAACGCTTGGCTTTCGTATGAGCTGCAGCCAGCGCCTGGCAGTGCGCGCATCCCGTTCCGCGTGGGGCTGTACACAGGCGAGATCAGCACAACACGCTCTCTGGATGAGACCGAAGCACCGCGCCACCGCCTTCTGGTGCTGGTGAAGGACCATGGAGAGCCCCCGCTGACAGCCACAGCCACAGTGCTGGTGTCGCTGGTGGAAAGTGGCCAGGCGCCGAAGGCCTCATCGCGGGCGTCGGCGGGCGCTGTGGGTCCCGAGGCTGCCCTGGTGGATGTCAACGTGTACCTGATCATCGCCATCTGTGCGGTGTCCAGCCTGCTGGTGCTCACGCTGCTGCTGTACACCGCGCTGCGGTGCTCGGCGCAGCCCACCGAGGCCGTGTGCACACGGGGCAAGCCCACTCTGTTGTGCTCCAGCGCGGTGGGGAGCTGGTCGTACTCGCAGCAGAGGAGACAGAGGGTGTGCTCTGGGGAAGCTCCACCCAAAACAGACCTCATGGCCTTCAGTCCAAGCCTTCCTCAGGGTCCCACCTCTACAGACAACGTGAGTTTTCTAATATTAACATCCATCTTTCCCTCCCAATTTTCAAATATTAAATGTCACATTCACCCACTTTTTTTGTATTTAAAAATTATGTCTTAGTACACAAATATTGTGGTACACAATTATTGCACTAATTCATGTATTATATGCTTTTTATGAGGCTTTTCTGCTGGGGTAATAGATTCATCAGCTTTCTGTGATATTAAGTGTTTTTAAAATAATATTTTATATTAGCATTTGAATTTTGCATCTCTAAAAATGTAGGATAATAATTGTAAGACATAGTTTGGAGTCATTCTCAAAGTTTCAGTTTATGACTACATGAAAATTTATTTTATTTTATTGTTATTTTTTAGAGACCCTTTGTTGCTTAGTCTGCAGTGATCTGATCATAGCTCACCGAAGCCTGAAACTCCTGGGCTCAAGTGATCCTCCTATCTCAGCCGCCCAAGTAGCTGGACTACATGCACATGCTAATTAAAGTTTTTTTTTTTTTTTTTTTTTTATTTTCTGTAGAGATAGGGGTCTTGCTACTTTGCCCAGGCTGGTCTTGAACTCCTGGTTTGAAGCCATGCTCCCGTCTCAGCCTCCCGAAGTACTAAGATTACAGGATTGAGCAAGAGTGCCTGGCCTATAAAAATGTTTTAACACCACCCTTCCAATTTTGCCTTTTTGTTTCTATTGAATTTAAATTAATTATTATTTTATTACACTAATTTAGTTTGTTTTCAATTGTATTTTTGCAGCATATGGTTTATTTCAACTTTGCCTAAGCAGTTCACCTGTATACCCATGATGAATTTGATAATTGTAATTTAAAAATTATATTTTTCATTTTATTGATTTTTTGAATAGGAAACACATATACATGGTTTACTGTTCTAAAGGTGCAAAAGAATACAGTTAAATTTTCCCTTTCACCTCCTTCATGAAGCCAAAACATTCTCTGGTATCCTTCTAGAGATTTTTTTCATATACAAATAAACTTCCCTACCCCCTTAAAAAACATATGAGTATTGATTTTAATCTTGCTTTTTTCATTTACTAATGTATCTTGATGATCATGAATTATCATTACTGAAGTAGATTTGTTTTTCTTTTATCTGGATCTATGGTGTTCCATTGTGTAGGTATGTGATTGGTTATTTTTCCCTTAACATTAACATTTAGTGGAACAATGATTTAATTTTCTGGAAATTTGCATATTTTTCAATATATCTAATATATATTAGATATATAAATATCTAAAATATCTAATATATATCTAATATATTATATATTTTATATAATATATATAATAAATATATAATAATAATATATATCAGATATTTTGATACAGAATTTTGCTCTTGTTGCCCAAACGAGTGCAATGGTACAATCTTGGCCTCCCAGGTTCAAGCGATTCTCCTGCCTTATCTTCCCAAGTAGCTGGGATTACAGGCATGTGCCCACACCTGGCTAATTTTTTGTATTTACTAGAGACGGGGTTTCACCATGTTGGTCATGGTGGTCTCGAACTCCTAATCTCAGGTGATTTACCCGCCTCGGCCTCCCAAAGTGCTGGGATTGCAGGCATGAGCCATCGCGCCTGGCCTAAATTATTATATTGATGAGGAGTAACTGTGAATCTCCTCAGTTGTGCAAATTCTACTATATTTTGGTTGGGAAATTTTACTGCTTGTTGTTACTTTTAGATTAAAAAAATAAATATACCATGATACAAACTCCCCTCTTGAGTTGTTTACAAAGAGTTGTTTATTAAAGCTGTATGTTTGAGACTACGCTAGACAGGTGTCCTCTCCATCTGAAATAATGAGAACCATTTGTCTACTCTTTTGAGGGGAAAAGTATGGATTTATAGGTAGTAAATAGTCCACACTTTACATGATAAAATGTGAATTCCCTATTTCTGTTGCTTTGCCTGTTTCTTTTATTCTCATATGCATTCAATTTTATAAGTACCCTTCTATCATGCTATTTATATATTCCTAATATCCTGAGCTACTTTGAGGAAGTCCTAGAAATTGAGAAATAGTTTTTGTCATTCTATAAATCTAAAGTTAACAATGGTCACATTTTAAAAAATCAAGTTTTGTGATATAAACTATTTATATATCTCTTTATATATCAAGTCTTTATGTATATTTTGTGCAGCTTGTCTTTTTTATAGGAACCTCTTGTTTTGGGGATTGTTTTTGGTTAAGAAATTGAACCCTTTGTTTGCCCAAAATAACTGCAATAGAAAGTCAGTGATAAGAACTACTAAATAGATCCAGGTTAATTATTTTAAGATAGAATTTCACATGGAAGAAAAGGCTTTGTGTCACAATCATCTGTGAGGCATTTTACTGTATATCAGAATTTTGGAGTAAGGTGAAGATGATCATGTCATTTGAAAAGTCTTATTGGTGACTCTATTTTTCTCCTTTGAAGGAGGGGTTTAATCACTTCAAATGGATAACATTAAGGTTAAATTAAGGGCGAAGTTGATATTTGGCCCTGACTTTTATATGAAGGTAACATTTTTGCAAGTAAATTGTAGACGTAATTAAAAAAACCCAGCTAAAACAAAGGTGGTATTGAGAAAGAGGAAGAGCAAGTGGTCTATATTGTCAGAAAAATAAGATTCATATTGGAGAGTAATTGAAAATAACCTGCAAAAAGTTGATTACCTAACATGTGATTACATATTAGGTTACTAGAAGTTTCTCAAGTGTCTTGCAATTTCTAGGTTTAGTAAAATTCAATGAAAGCTGTACTCATAAAGATAAATATGATAGCATGTGAAAGACAGATGGACTTAGGTGGATGTGGAATAAGGCAAGCCAGGGAAAAGGAGTAATTTAAAAAGTAATATAGGTGACATGGGAAATGCTCATGTCATTAAAAATATGAATTTAAAAATTTGAATTTGGGGATTATTAATAATTGCTCATGCCTTGCTATTTAACAAACTATTTTCTAGGAGTCAGCATGTATAGGTGAAAGTGACAATTAGAAACATAGAAAGAAGGGATGCAGATATGGATTTGTAAATACCTCAATAAAAGTCTTATTCAAAACTTGGAAGTGAGTGAGAACAATTAAAGGAAAGGATATGGGACAGGGTTGAAGTTGAGAGAGAAAAACGAGATCATTTAGGAACAGCTGAAGAATCAAAAACAGCAAAGCACAATGGGTAGAAATTCCACTAGAATTTGAAGTGGTGAAGTATATGAAAAGAAAATATTTTAAGCAAGAATCCTAATATAAGCTGCAGATAAATTAAATGTGATAAAGAATATGCTCTAGAATTTTATCTTCCATCATTACACAGAAGAACCTTAAGAGCATCTGATATTTATTGAACAAAGAAAGCATGGACTTCAATAATCTATAAGGCTTTAAAAATTCAACCAAAATTTGATAATTTTAAGTTACATTTTTTCCCTAGAGCACTATATAATAGCATGTCCTAGGAAAGACAGATGTGGGCAAGTTTCTTTTCTACCAAGAGTGTAGAATAGTTTACATTTCTGATTTAAAAAGCAGTTCCGTTAACACTTAAATTTGCTGAACTGGTTGATATTAATGTTGCAAATATTGGTAGAAAAGTTGTTTAGCTGTGAATAATTAGATCCCTTACTTTAAATTAATAAAAGAAGTCGGGATAACACTGACCGTGCAAATTACAAACGTGAGGAGGGTTTACTATAAAAGTAGAGAAAAGAAGATACTGTTTTAAAAATATATGGTATAGCACTGTTACGTGAATTGATTTCTTACCTTTTGGAGCCGCATGATGTCGCTGTCTACCATGAAGTTATAGCTAGCCAACATTCAAATTTCTTCTATTACTGCATCATTCCCTGACTGTTGAATGATGGCGGACGCAGAAGAAATGGATTAATAAATTCCGGAACATACAGTATTTTATCTTTATGCGGAAGATCTTCTAATGGAAATAAAACCAGAGGTATTTGACATGGTGTTTACCCCGGAGGATAGATTGGGAAAGCAATGTCTGCTCCTCCCGCTTCTGCTCCTCGCAGCCTGGAAGGTGGGGAGCGGCCAGCTCCACTACTCCGTACCCGAGGAGGCCAAACACGGCACCTTCGTGGGCCGGATCGCGCAGGACCTGGGGCTGGAGCTGGCGGAGCTGGTGCCGCGCCTGTTCAGGATGGCCTCCAAAGACCGCGAGGACCTTCTGGAGGTAAATCTGCAGAATGGCATTTTGTTTGTGAATTCTCGGATCGACCGCGAGGAGCTGTGCGGGCGGAGCGCGGAGTGCAGCATCCACCTGGAGGTGATCGTGGACAGGCCGCTGCAGGTTTTCCATGTGGACGTGGAGGTGAGGGACATTAACGACAACCCGCCCTTGTTCCCGGTAGAGGAACAAAGAGTGCTGATTTACGAATCTAGGCTGCCAGATTCTGTGTTTCCACTGGAGGGCGCGTCCGATGCAGATGTTGGCTCAAATTCCATCTTAACCTATAAACTCAGTTCTAGCGAATACTTCGGGCTAGATGTGAAAATAAACAGTGATGACAATAAACAAATTGGGCTCTTATTAAAGAAATCCTTGGACAGAGAGGAAGCTCCTGCACACAACTTATTCCTGACAGCCACAGATGGGGGCAAACCTGAGCTCACAGGCACTGTTCAGCTGCTGGTCACAGTGCTGGATGTGAATGATAATGCTCCCACTTTCGAACAGTCTGAATACGAAGTAAGAATATTCGAAAATGCAGACAACGGAACAACAGTTATCAGACTGAATGCTTCTGATCGGGATGAAGGAGCGAATGGGGCAATTTCATATTCTTTTAATAGCCTTGTTGCAGCCATGGTTATTGACCACTTTAGCATAGATCGAAATACGGGAGAAATAGTGATTCGGGGTAATTTGGATTTTGAACAAGAAAACTTATACAAAATCCTCATTGACGCCACGGACAAAGGCCATCCTCCCATGGCGGGTCATTGCACCGTTTTAGTGAGAATTTTGGATAAAAATGATAACGTCCCTGAGATAGCACTGACTTCCTTATCCTTGCCTGTACGTGAAGACGCTCAATTTGGTACTGTCATCGCCCTAATTAGCGTGAACGACCTCGATTCAGGTGCCAACGGGCAGGTGAACTGCTCGCTGACGCCTCACGTCCCTTTCAAGCTGGTGTCCACCTTCAAGAATTACTACTCGTTGGTGCTGGACAGTGCCCTGGACCGCGAGAGCGTGTCGGCCTATGAGTTGGTGGTAACCGCGCGGGACGGGGGCTCGCCTTCGCTGTGGGCCACCGCCAGCTTGTCTGTGGAGGTGGCCGACATGAATGACAATGCTCCGGCGTTCGCGCAGCCCGAGTACACAGTGTTCGTGAAGGAGAACAACCCGCCGGGCTGCCACATCTTCACGGTGTCTGCGCGAGACGCGGACGCGCAGGAGAACGCGCTGGTGTCCTACTCGCTGGTGGAGCGGCGGGTGGGCGAGCGCGCGTTGTCGAGCTACATTTCGGTGCACGCGGAGAGCGGCAAGGTGTACGCGCTGCAGCCGCTGGACCACGAGGAGCTAGAGCTGCTGCAGTTTCAGGTGAGCGCGCGCGACGCGGGCGTGCCGCCTCTGGGCAGCAACGTGACGCTGCAGGTGTTCGTGCTGGACGAGAACGACAACGCGCCGGCGCTGCTGGCGCCTCGGGTGGGTGGTACTGGTGGTGCAGTGAGCGAGCTGGTGCCGCGGTCACTGGGTGCAGGCCAAGTGGTGGCGAAGGTGCGCGCAGTTGACGCCGACTCAGGCTACAACGCGTGGCTTTCGTATGAGCTGCAGCCCCCGGCAAGCAGCGCTCGCTTCCCGTTTCGCGTGGGGCTGTACACGGGCGAGATCAGCACCACTCGTGTCCTGGACGAAGCGGACTCTCCGCGCCACCGGCTGCTGGTGCTGGTGAAAGACCACGGTGAGCCGGCGCTGACAGCGACGGCCACGGTTCTGGTGTCGCTGGTGGAGAGTGGCCAGGCTCCAAAGGCGTCATCACGGGCGTCGGTGGGCGCCGCGGGCCCAGAGGCGGCGCTGGTGGATGTCAACGTGTACCTGATCATCGCCATCTGCGCGGTATCCAGCCTGCTGGTCCTCACGCTACTGCTGTACACAGCGCTGCGGTGCTCGGCGCCACCCACCGAGGGCGCGTGCACGGCGGACAAGCCCACGCTGGTGTGCTCCAGCGCAGTGGGGAGCTGGTCGTACTCGCAGCAGAGGCGGCAGAGGGTGTGCTCCGGGGAGGGCCCACCCAAGATGGATCTCATGGCCTTTAGCCCCAGCCTTTCACCTTGTCCTATTATGATGGGTAAGGCGGAGAATCAGGATTTAAATGAAGATCATGATGCCAAAGTAAGTGAATTTTCATAATTAACAGTTAATTTTTATTTTAAATTTATAATTGTTTTCCTCATATTTGTCTTCTATATTTCTGTTTTTAATTTTTAATTAATTTTACAAAATTACATATTTTCATTTTATTGTGTTTCTTATTTTAATCTCTTTGCTTCTTTAATATTCATAATTTAAGTGAAATTAGAAATCACTGTCCACAATCTGCACCTCAGAATTTTTGTCTTCAAACCAAAATATTCTTGGATATGTCGTTTTCTGTTGCATTTTAATTCAGAATCATAGTAGCATTTTTTTCTGATTAATTATATGGGATTTTCATTTGTTTGCCTTTGAGCTTTAGGATAATTTTTTTACATATACTCTTTTTTGATCATATATTGAAATTTGAGCACCAGTGTATCACTTATGTTTTTACACTTTCCATTTCAATGTTTTTCTGTCGACACTTTTATTAAGCTAACGCTTTGATTTTATCCATTTTGTGTAAGAACTCTGATCATCATAGTTTTTATCTGTGGTTCCCTTTTCAGACTTGTGATTCCGGGAGGCAATAGTGTTCATTTATTGTCCCCCTTTTAAACCATTGAGGAATAAAGGACAAAAACAATAGTTATCAGCCTGAATACTTCTGGTTGTTATGGTTATTGATTTATTTACTACCGATCTAAATAATGGAAAAATAGTGATTCAACAGAATTTAGACCTTGTGATCAAGTAAATTTATATGAAAACTGCATTCCTCTGGCATTGCGGCTCTCTTATTTCTGTTTGAATTTCACTTGATGGTCTTCTCTTCATGGAGTCTAAATCTATTTCTTTGTATTAGTGTTTTCATTGTTTCTACACAGTAATTTAAACTATTCACTATTTTGTATGTGTGTGTGTGTGTGTGACAGGGTCTTGCTCTGTCACCCATGCTGGAGTACAGTGGTGCAATAATGGCTCACTGCACCCTCGAATGCCTGGGCTCAAGTGATTCTCTCACCTCAGCCTCTGGAGTTACTACACACGAGCACCACCATGCCCCCCACCTTTTTTTTTTTTTTTTTTTTTTTTAAGAGATGGGGTTTCTCCATGTTGCCCAGGCTGGTCTCAAACTACTGGGTGCAAGTGATCTGCCCACCTTGGCCTCCCAAAGTACTAAGATTATAGGTGTGAGCCACTATGCTTGGCTAGTCATTATTTCTTTGAATGAAAAGCAGCAAAAAGTAGTGATTAAGTGTGAGTTTTGGTGTTATCCTCCCTTGCCTAAATTTCATCGCTACCAATTTTGTTTTGTGGATGGATTGTTTCACCTCTATTTCAGTTTCTTCTGTAAAGTTGGAATGATAAACACTAGTTTCAATGATAGAATTGTCATAAAGCTTTAGTAAGTTGATATTGTAAGGCGCTTATAACTGTGTTTGCCAAATAGCAAGTGCTTAAAAAATTTGCTACTAGTTTTCCGAAGAGGAAAAGAAAAACTTTATGTCATTTTATGCTAGGAAACTCTCATTACGGATTCCATATTGTTTTCATTTTACGTAAAGATTGAATTTTTGTTATTCATAGTGAGGCCATAATTACCAATTTAATCTGAGATGTCTCTAACATTTTAAATGCCATGTTCTACATTAAAAGCAATTTAAAATGTGTGTTTCAAAGTTGAAAATTGAATTAAGACTTGGACAGTGGAAAAGTTTTATGAATTCAAAAGACATTTAACCTGCTGAGTCCTCAGTGATTTCCTGGAGTTGGTTTTGACTTTTTGTGTTGTCCATGTTCCCAGGAAATATTAGACTACATTAAGCATGAATGGTGTATTTGCCCACATTTAAAAGTTGCTTAAGGGCCATTAGAGGACTGAGTTGTGGTTTGTGTTTCCTAATGTGAGCATTTTCCATTCTTGAAATGGCAGAAACTGGTAGTGGTATTTTCTGTTTTCTAAAAGAAGTACATGATAATTTTTAAGCGTGTAATTAATATTGCACTAAAATTTAAAAAAACTAACTCTACATACTTAAGAGTGGCAGAATTGTCTCTGATTATACTGAAGATCACCATTTGTGTAGCTAATGATATCTAACAGCCTCAAAACAGCATACTTTCTTAGGAAGTAGAGAACTATAGCGTTGCTAGTGAGTAAATGTTTTTTAAAAAGTTCCTAGGAGGGTCTTTAAGAGTATCACACTGTGCCTGCTGAGAATCATCGAATTAACAAGACCTGGCTTCAAATTTAATAGATAAATAAAGGTAAGTATCCTACATAAATACGATGATAGTAAAAGCAAGAATATTGTAAGAGGTGCTAGAAAGGTACATCATAGTGTTATTGGAATTGGAAAAAAATCTTTGCCTTTTTCCCTTGTTGAAGGAGACCGTGAAGAGTCATGATGTTTTACTGGTTATAAAATGGAAAGAGTTTTCCCTGGGAGAATATGGAGACTAACAGGTATTCATGAGAAGAGAGTAACTTAAGTGAGTATACAGAAAATTCCAAATGTACCTAGAAATGAGGAATAGTCCACTTTGGGTAAAGCACATGGTTCCCATAAGAGAGAGTGTGATATAAAGCAAGAAAAGTAATATGAGAAAAACCTTTTGTATAACTTTGAGTACTAGACGAGTAATTTTGACACTCTTCAAAGTCATTTGAAAGCTGTCAAAAAGTGTGAAGCAATACGAATAAAAAGTATTAACGGAAGATGACTGCAAGGATTAAATGAAGGAGAATGAAATAGGAATGGACAGGTTACACAATAAGAAGCTACTGCAATACACCAGGAGAGCAGCAATTATAAAAACTTATTTAGGAAAGCATCTGAATACAGACATAATTATTTTACATGCCATTGGGAACATTGGAGTGAAACATTCCAGAAAACGAACACAGTAAGGTAGATCCAAAAAGGATGAAATACCTCAAGACTTGATCAAAGGGCTGCTGTATGTGAGATGGCTGAGCACTGAAATTTATCTAATAAAATAAACTTACATTTTAAAAGAAATAATACAAATCATATTTGAGATTGTAAAAATAGGCATATATTCATAACACACAAGTGTTCGAAAGGATAGAATGAGGAAACAAATATAAAATGATGAACTCCTGAAACAGTATATATAGATTCTGCTAAAGCAAAAAATTCAGAATACTTCCTCCTCAAAAAGTTCACATGATACAAATTCTTCCCCTTCAAAGATTCCCCAAACCTTCTCTTATTTTGTTTTCCCAAGAGAAGTGTCTGGATAGTTGCTAATGTTTCTTGCCTCCTAAAAAGAAAACACACACACACACACCGCTTTCTAAGTTTCTCTTTCATCAATCAGTAGATTCTTGAGATCCTGGGTCCCTAAAAGAGTACAGGATTTTTCTTAACAAGCGATACTGAATCAAGAATATGAAGTTTCCTGGGATCTAGATCAAAGGAATTTAAACTTGCAGTTGTTTAAATTCATGTTGTCACTTAGGTTTCTATCTTTATTTAAAACTGTGTGAAAAAAAAGTTTTTCTAAGGCATGAGGAAGCTACAGTTCTGGTAACACTGAGTATTCAAAAGCCATCAGTCGCCTAAGAATGCTTCTAACAATCATGAGAAATGCTATTTTAACCTTTAACAACAATGAAGAAAAAAATTCAGAGTTTGAAATAAAACTTTTCATCTGATTAATAGTTTGTAATGGTTTGTAATTCTTACTTACATGATGGCCACATGATGTCGCTCTTTACCGCAAATTCTTTCGTAATCAGCAAAAGGAAGTCATTCCTTTTCGCACTGGAAAGACGCTCCACTCTCTTTCACTCTTTGGATGCACAACAATGGCCACACATCGAGATTGAAATGAAGGGATAAAAACATTCCTATAAATTCGAAGGCAAGTTTTGCTGACTAGAAAAACAAGCCAATAATTTGAAATGGTGTGCCCGAATGGATACGACCCAGGGGGCCGACATCTACTGCTGTTTATTATAATTCTAGCAGCTTGGGAGGCAGGGAGAGGCCAGCTCCACTACTCGGTCCCCGAGGAGGCTAAACATGGCAACTTCGTGGGCCGCATCGCGCAGGACCTGGGGCTGGAGCTGGCGGAGCTGGTGCCGCGCCTGTTCCGGGCGGTGTGCAAATTCCGTGGGGATCTTCTGGAGGTAAATCTGCAGAATGGCATTTTGTTTGTGAATTCTCGGATCGACCGCGAGGAGCTGTGCGGGCGGAGCGCGGAGTGCAGCATCCACCTGGAGGTGATCGTGGAAAGGCCGCTGCAGGTTTTCCATGTGGACGTGGAGGTGAAGGACATTAACGACAACCCTCCGGTGTTCCCAGCGACACAAAGGAATCTGTTCATCGCGGAATCCAGGCCGCTTGACTCTCGGTTTCCACTAGAGGGCGCGTCCGATGCAGATATCGGGGAGAACGCCCTGCTCACTTACAGACTGAGCCCCAATGAGTATTTCTTCCTGGACGTGCCAACCAGCAACCAGCAGGTAAAACCTCTTGGACTTGTATTACGGAAACTTTTAGACAGAGAAGAAACTCCGGAGCTTCATTTATTGCTCACGGCCACCGATGGAGGCAAACCCGAGCTGACTGGCACCGTTCAATTACTCATCACGGTACTGGACAACAATGACAATGCCCCAGTGTTCGACAGAACCCTGTATACGGTGAAATTACCAGAAAACGTTTCTATCGGAACGCTGGTGATTCACCCCAATGCCTCAGATTTAGACGAAGGCTTGAATGGGGATATTATTTACTCCTTCTCCAGTGATGTTTCTCCAGATATAAAATCCAAGTTCCACATGGACCCCTTAAGTGGGGCAATCACAGTGATAGGACATATGGATTTTGAAGAAAGTAGAGCACACAAGATCCCAGTCGAGGCTGTCGATAAAGGCTTCCCACCCCTGGCTGGTCATTGTACAGTTCTTGTGGAAGTTGTGGATGTAAATGACAATGCTCCACAGTTGACTCTCACTTCCCTGTCTCTCCCTATTCCAGAGGACGCCCAACCAGGTACCGTCATCACATTGATTAGCGTGTTTGACCGAGATTTTGGAGTCAACGGACAGGTTACCTGCTCCCTGACGCCCCGCGTTCCCTTCAAGTTGGTGTCCACCTTCAAGAATTACTATTCATTGGTGCTGGACAGCGCTCTGGACCGCGAGAGTGTGTCCGCCTATGAGCTGGTGGTTACCGCGCGGGACGGGGGCTCGCCTTCTCTGTGGGCCACTGCTAGCGTGTCCGTGGAGGTGGCCGACGTGAACGACAACGCCCCGGCGTTCGCGCAGCCCGAGTATACGGTGTTCGTGAAGGAGAACAACCCGCCGGGCTGCCACATCTTCACTGTGTCGGCGGGGGACGCGGACGCGCAGAAGAACGCGCTGGTGTCCTACTCGCTGGTGGAGCTGCGGGTGGGCGAGCGCGCGCTGTCGAGCTACGTGTCAGTGCACGCGGAGAGCGGCAAGGTGTACGCGCTGCAGCCGTTGGACCACGAGGAGCTGGAGCTGTTGCAGTTCCAGGTGAGCGCGCGCGATGCGGGCGTGCCGCCTCTGGGCAGCAACGTGACGCTGCAGGTGTTCGTGCTGGACGAGAACGACAACGCGCCGGCACTGCTGGCGCCTCGGGTGGGTGGCACTGGTGGCGCAGTGAGAGAGCTTGTGCCGCGGTCTGTGGGCGCGGGCCATGTGGTGGCGAAGGTACGTGCAGTTGACGCTGACTCAGGCTACAACGCGTGGCTTTCGTATGAGTTGCAACCGGTGGCGGCCGGTGCGAGCATCCCGTTCCGCGTGGGGCTGTACACTGGTGAGATCAGCACGACACGAGCCCTAGATGAGACGGACGCACCGCGCCACCGCCTTCTGGTGCTTGTGAAGGACCACGGGGAGCCCTCGCTGACAGCCACAGCCACCGTGCTGGTGTCGCTGGTGGAAAGCGGCCAGGCACCAAAGGCGTCGTCGCGGGCATCGTTGGGCATTGCAGGCCCAGAGACCGAGCTGGTGGATGTCAACGTGTACCTGATCATCGCCATCTGCGCGGTGTCCAGTCTGTTGGTGCTTACCCTGCTGCTGTACACGGCGTTGCGGTGCTCAGCGCCGTCCTCTGAGGGCGCATGTAGTTTGGTAAAGCCCACTCTGGTGTGCTCCAGCGCGGTGGGGAGCTGGTCATTCTCCCAGCAGAGGCGGCAGAGGGTGTGCTCTGGGGAGGGCCCACCCAAGACAGACCTCATGGCCTTCAGTCCCAGCCTTCCTCAGGGTCCATCCTCTACAGACAATGTGAGTCATAAATAATCTTGTTTCCAACAATTTTAAAACAATTAGTTCAATTGGTCTCCTTAAATTTTCTTTCATAATTTCTTTTTTAGTTGATAGCTTTATGTATAATTATTATTTTTTAATGTTATGCTGTATTTGCACTAATTATTTGGAAGTACGTTTAATATACACTTTTGTTTTGGGATGCGTAATACTATAGATCAAAATCTATGGTTTATGTTGGCTACTCTCCATTTTTGGAGGAGGACTTTGCTAACTGGAGCAATGGATTCACCTTTCTTCTATAGTGTATTTACAAAATCAAATATTTACATTTCCATATTTTGATAATCAATACCTATAAATGTTATAGTAAACAAATTTAATATATATGTTACCTAATATTTTATTCTATGTATTGTCCTCATTTTATAAAATATAGCTGTGTCAAAATCATCTGTTCAATTTTGCCTTTTTATCTTTAGTCTAGAACTTGAATTTTAAGCATTTCTTTTACATCTATTTATCTTCTTTTTATCATATTTGTGTAGCACTGACTTCTTTTTAACTTACTTTGTTGAGATGTATTTGCCATGTTCATGAAGAATTAATATGAACAATTTAAAATAGTTTAAATGGCAGTTTAATAGTATTTTTTATTTTGTTCCTTGTTTGTATAAGAAATATATTCACATTCAAAATTTCAAAGAGTGAAATCTAGTACGTAGTAAAAAATCTCCTTGCCTCCTCAAACCCCAAACCATTTACTTTACCTTTCTGAATTTCTGAAGCAGTTTACTTTTTTTGTATATTCCCAAGATTATTATTGCCAAATTATATAAATATATTTACAATCACCAAATTGTAAATCGCCAATATATATATTTTATAATTTGCCCCTTCCTTCCTTCCTTCCTTTCTTTCTTTCTTTCTTCCTTTTTCTTTCATTCTTTTTCTTTTTTCTTTCTTCTTTCAAGACACGCTCTCACTCCATCACCCAGGCTGCTGAAATGCAGTGGTGGGATTATAGCCCACTGCAACCTGAAAGTCCTGGGCTCACAGGATCCTCCCATCTCAGCCTCTGGAGTAGCTGGGAATACAGTTTGCATGTCATTGTGCCTGGCTAATTTTATTTTATTTTTGTAGAGACAGGGTGGAGTCTTGTTTCCCAGGCTGGTCTTGAACTCCTGGCTTCAAGCGATCCTCCTACCTTGGCCTCCCAAAGTATTGGGATTACAGACACGAACAACCACACCCAGCCTGCCTTTCATCTTTCCTTTTTTTTAAAAAAAGAAGTGATTACAGTAGAAACCTACCTTTCTGCACTTTTTGGTTTTCCACTTTAAGTTATATATATATAGTGTGTGTGTGTGTGTGTGTGTGTGTGTGTGTGTGTGTGTGTGTGTGTGTGTGTTTGACAGAGTTTTACTCTGTCGCCCTCTCTGGAGTGCAGTGGTGCAATCTCAGCTCACTGCAAAATCCGCCTCTCTGGTACAAGCAGTTCTCATGCCTCAGTCTCCCAAGTAGCTGGGATTAAAGACGCCAACAACCAAGCCATGCTAATTTTTTTTTTTTTTTGTATTTTTAGTAGAAACAGAGTTTCACCATGTTGCCCCGGCTGGTCTCGAAATCTGGGACTCAAGTGATCTGACTGCCTCAGCCTCCCAATGTGCTGGGATTACAGGAGTGAGCCACCGCATCCGGCCTAAATTATATATTGGGTTTTGTGGCATATTATTTCATTAGCGCTTATTCCTTGTTTTTGATTATTTGCTTTCTTATTTTTAAAAGTATTTGCATCTTATTTTCTTTTATGGATATATCATGATTTATTCATCCAGTACTGTATTAGGGACATTAATGAAACAATAACCGAATTGTCTAGACTTTTAAAAATTTTTTACAAATAATTTGGTTGGTCAAAAAAATGATAGTTAACGGGGCATGGTGGCACACACCTTTAACCCCAACATTTCGGGAGGCCGAGGCAGGAGGATTGCTTCAGTCTAGTAGTTTGAGACCAGCTTGTGCATCTTTTGTAGAGACTTTGTAAAATTAGCTATGCATGGTGATGCATGTCTGTAGTTTCAGCTACTCAAGAAACTGAGGTGGGAGGATCACTTAAGCCAGGGAGGTCCAAGCTGCAGTTATCATGCCACTGAACTCCAGCCTAGGTGACAGAGCAATACCTTGCCTCAAAAATAAAATAAAATGAAATAATAAAATAAAATAAAATAAAAACCCAGAACTGACAATTTTCACTGTTCCTAATATTCTAATATACTTTAGTAAATTATTTTAGGATATGTTACTGTTTTCTTTTCAACGTGAATAAGGATAGAGGTATGCAAAGTCAAAAACCTGTCTGATAATCAATAGAATTATTTACCATTAAGCCATAATATGTCATTCACATAAGCAGACCAAGTTTGCTGCTCTTGTTGAAAGATATTCAGTTTTGTGGAAAAATCTATAAATATCTTTGACCTTCAAAGATGTAACTGTAATCTGTTTTTATTGCTTTGCTTTTATGCTTACATGCATGTATATTTAAAACCTTCCTAGCATATTATTAAAGTTTTAAATATCCTATTTATATTGGGAAATACCTGAAGTTGATAGGGGATCCTCCTTAGCCACCTAAGCTGTATTCATCAATTATTATGATGATGATGATGATTATTATTTTTGAGACAGGGTCTCACTCTGTAGCCCAGACTGCAGTGCAGTGGCACAATCTGGGCTTACTGCAATCTCTGCCTCCTGGGCTCAAGTGATCTTCCTACCTCAGCCTCTCAAGTTGCTGGGACTATAGGCACACACCACCATGCCCAACTAATTTTTGTATTTTTTGTAGAGATGGGGTCTTACCATGTTGCCCAGGCTGGTCTCAAACTCCTGAGATATCGAGAAATACTATTTTCTTTACAAATTGTTTGCTACTATTTAGAGTCAACTACAGAGATTTTTTTGGGTAAATAATGTGATGACAAATTTAAATCATTTCACAGAAAATACCCTTATTTGCCTTTCCTATTTAACCTACGTTTTTGGTAAGAATTTTGTAGAAATTTGGAGGAGCTCTTAATTGCCTACTATGAAGGCATTCATGATGAATCCATGGAGAATTTACTTTTGAGGTGGACTTTGAAAGATGAATAGAATTTTGACAGAAAAAGATGAAGTAATAGAAGAAAAACCTTGAACAAAGAGTGTGCCAAGAAGGAGACAACATATTTTCTGTAAAATATGACTCCTATTGGAAAGTGGTTAGCCTTAGCACTGAGAAGATTGGCTCATGGTCACGTAGCGTATCTCCCAGATGGAAGTCTAATGTCTTGACAATTAGTCAATAGAAAGATAAACTTGTTGAAGATTTTAGTGAAATCGAGTGAAAGCTGTACTAATAAGGACAGAAATTATCACACGTGAAAGGAGAGATGGGATGTATACAAATTTTAAATATGGTAGGCAAAGGAAAAGAAGTCATAAAAATACATATGAGTAAATGTGGAGAATCACTATGCTATAAAAATTGTGATTTTTTAATGATTTGGGTTTTGGGTGATTATTGATTAGATATTCTTTTAACTTTGGTCGACTCATTTTCTAGGCAATGTTAGGGTATACAGGTAAAAATGTCAGGTAGAAAATGAAAATAGGGGGTTGCAGATATGGAGTTAAGAATACTTCAAATAATAGGCTAGTTTAAAGCCGTGGAAATAGAAACGTTAAATAAAAAGTTGGGGAAAAAAGTTTAAAGGCATAATTCTGGTAAATACTCACTTTTTGGAGCAGAAGAAAGATGAAGAACTAACAAGCCAATGATGGCAATACTGCTAGAGTTTGGCATGTCAGAGAAATCATAAAGGAAAATGTTTTAAGTGAGAGGCTGAATTTAACAAGCTATAGAGATATAGAGAAATAGTGTAAAGAATATGCACATACATTTTTATTACTTTAGTAAATAAAACGGTTCAGGCAATTTGACATTTATTGAATAAAGAAAAGCAAAAATTTAACAATAAGAACACAAGAAGATAAAATGTAGAAAAGTTAGAATTATATGCTCACCTCAGAGTAATATATACCAGTGTTTCTGGTGACCAAATAAATATTAATGCATTTCTTCCACACGAAACTATGGAGGACAGTTTACATTTCTGATATCCATGACATACAGGTCATACTTAAATTTATTATTAATTGATACGATATTTGAAATATTGGGAAGAAATTCCTTTCCTTATGAAGAAGAAATCCCTAGCTGAAACTAATGTAAGGAGCCAGACAGTATGAATGCCTCTGCAATTGATAAAGTTAAGGATTTACTATTAAATTATGATAAAGAAATAGAAAGTGCATAGAAGAACCCAGATATTGCGGAAGTAATTCATGTAATCATTACCTTTTGAAGCCACATGATGTCGCTGTCTACCAAGAAGTTCTGGTTGGTCAATGTTCAAAGTCTTTTCTCTGACAGCATCTGTCTCTAAAGGCCGAACAACGGGAGATGCAGCGGAATTGGATTAAAAGACTCTGAAAGTACAGTCGTTCATCTTTATATTAAGATAATATTTTCTGATAGGAAACGACTATTTAACATGGATTATCACTGGCGAGGAGAGCTGGGATCCTGGCGACTACTACTCTTGCTTCTGCTCCTCGCAGCCTGGAAGGTGGGGAGCGGCCAGCTCCACTACTCCGTCCCCGAGGAGGCCAAACACGGCACCTTCGTGGGCCGGATCGCGCAGGACCTGGGGCTGGAGCTGGCGGAGCTGGTGCCGCGCCTGTTCCGGGTGGCGTCCAAAAGACACCGGGACCTTCTGGAGGTAAGTCTGCAGAATGGCATTTTGTTTGTGAATTCTCGGATCGACCGCGAGGAGCTGTGCGGGCGGAGCGCGGAGTGCAGCATCCACCTGGAGGTGATCGTGGACAGGCCGCTGCAGGTTTTCCATGTGGACGTGGAGGTGAAGGATGTTAATGACAACCCGCCAGTGTTCCGGGTAAAAGACCAAAAGCTGTTTGTTTCAGAATCCAGAATGCCAGACTCTCGGTTTCCGCTAGAGGGCGCGTCCGATGCAGATGTTGGAGCTAACTCCGTGTTAACCTACAGGCTTAGCTCTCATGATTACTTCATGCTAGATGTGAATTCAAAGAACGATGAGAATAAACTGGTTGAGCTCGTATTAAGAAAATCCTTGGACAGAGAGGACGCTCCTGCGCACCACTTATTCCTGACAGCCACAGATGGGGGCAAACCTGAGCTCACAGGCACTGTTCAGCTGCTGGTCACAGTGCTGGATGTGAATGATAATGCTCCCACTTTCGAACAGTCTGAATACGAAGTAAGAATATTCGAAAACGCAGACAACGGAACAACAGTTATCAAACTGAATGCTTCTGATCCGGATGAAGGAGCCAATGGGGCAATTTCATATTCTTTTAATAGCCTTGTTGAAACTATGGTTATTGACCACTTTAGCATAGATCGAAATACGGGAGAAATAGTGATTCGGGGTAATTTGGATTTTGAACAAGAAAACTTATACAAAATCCTCATTGACGCCACGGACAAAGGCCATCCTCCCATGGCGGGTCATTGCACCGTTTTAGTGAGAATTTTGGATAAAAATGATAACGTCCCTGAGATAGCACTGACTTCCTTATCCTTGCCTGTACGTGAAGACGCTCAATTTGGTACTGTCATCGCCCTAATTAGCGTGAACGACCTCGATTCAGGTGCCAACGGGCAGGTGACCTGCTCCCTGATGCCCCATGTCCCCTTCAAGCTGGTGTCCACCTTCAAGAATTACTACTCGTTGGTGCTGGACAGCGCCCTGGACCGCGAGAGAGTGTCGGCCTATGAGTTGGTGGTAACCGCGCGGGACGGGGGCTCGCCTTCGCTGTGGGCCACCGCCAGCTTGTCTGTGGAGGTGGCCGACGTGAACGACAATGCTCCGGCGTTCGCGCAGCCCGAGTACACGGTGTTCGTGAAGGAGAACAACCCGCCGGGCTGCCACATCTTCACGGTGTCTGCGCGAGACGCGGACGCGCAGGAGAACGCGCTGGTGTCCTACTCGCTTGTGGAGCGGCGGGTGGGCGAGCGCTCGCTGTCGAGCTACATTTCGGTGCACACGGAGAGCGGCAAGGTGTACGCGCTGCAGCCGCTGGACCACGAGGAGCTAGAGCTGCTGCAGTTCCAGGTGAGCGCGCGCGACGCGGGCGTGCCGCCTCTGGGCAGCAACGTGACGCTGCAGGTGTTCGTGCTGGACGAGAATGACAACGCGCCGGCACTGCTGGAGCCTCGGGTGGGTGGCACTGGTGGCGCAGCGAGCAAGCTGGTGCCGCGGTCTGTGGGCGCGGGCCACGTGGTAGCGAAGGTGCGCGCAGTGGACGCCGACTCGGGCTACAACGCGTGGCTTTCGTATGAGCTGCAGCCAGCTGCAAGCAGCCCTCGCATCCCGTTCCGCGTGGGGCTGTACACGGGCGAGATCAGCACCACTCGTGTCCTGGACGAAGCGGACTCTCCGCGCCACCGTCTGCTGGTCCTGGTGAAGGATCATGGTGAACCTGCGCTGACCGCCACGGCCACGGTTCTGGTGTCGCTGGTGGAGAGCGGCCAGGCTCCAAAAGCGTCATCGAGGCAGTCGGCTGGCGTTTTGGGTCCGGAAGCGGCGCTGGTGGATGTCAACGTGTACCTGATCATCGCCATCTGCGCGGTATCCAGCCTGCTGGTGCTCACGCTGCTGCTGTACACTGCGCTGCGGTGCTCAGCACTGCCCACTGAGGGCGGGTGCCGGGCGGGCAAGCCCACTCTGGTGTGCTCCAGTGCGGTGGGGAGCTGGTCATACTCGCAACAACAGCCGCAGAGGGTGTGCTCTGGTGAGGGGCCACCGAAGACGGACCTCATGGCCTTCAGCCCCTGCCTTCCTCCTGATCTGGGATCAGTTGATGTAGGCGAAGAGCAAGATTTAAATGTTGATCATGGCCTCAAAGTAAGTCCATTTAAATTTAGAACTCATAAATTCTATTTGTGGAAATTGTAGTTACTTTAAAAGTGTTTCAGATTTAGTTTTTCACCGTATTTTATAGTGAAAATTTAAACATTGTTTAGTTTTTAGAAACCTTTTATAATTAATTGAATTTTCTCAGTGGCATAATACAGTATTAATCATTCTCCACAAGTTGGGTCTATCTTGAAACTCAAGTTATGGTTGGATGATATCCATTTTTTACTGAATATTTATTTTGGCCTGCCTTACAGCCGTCTTCTCTGAACAATACTCTAAGGACGTTCAGGGCATTTTGATCTTTGGTGAAAGTATTCCCCCAAAGCGTTTATTCTTTTGTCCTTAGGCACTGAACTCTTAATCTTACTCCATATGCTGTACTTTGAAATGCATGTTTTAAATATGTTGTCTTTATATTTACTTTTATTCACTTTAAGATCTCGGTTTATTCATCTTATCTGACTTTTTAGTGTCTGGTAGTCACAAATATCTTTGGTGTTTCACTATTGCCGTTTTAAGCAGTGTAGTGATAAAATACAGAATGATAGTGTTTTTCAAAATTTGATAGTTTTCATATTCTTCCTAATTTTATTATAAACTAGTTAAAAAGTAAAATCAAGAGGGAAGAGATTTGTAATCCTTCTTTTAATTCATTATTTAGACCATTTTACCATTTGGAGACATGTTTTTTATTCTACATGATTTTTACAGTTGTATTGTCGCCAACTTAACATTTTTTGAGCCTCTATGTTTAGGAAATGATTACTTTATTCTTGCAAGTATCTTCTAAACTCTAATCATTCAACCCTTTGTTCATGAGTTGGAATATTTTCAATAATATTCCACATTAAAGTGATATTTAATATATGACTTAGAAAAATGTTTTCATCAGAAAAACTATACATGATAATTTCATTCTTGCAAACCAAACATATAATTTATAAATCCTTATTATACAGAATATTTGGGATTATCATGGCCCATTAGTTCGTGTAAAAATATTTAGTATTATGGGATAAATCTTTGAAAAATCCAAGATACTTTATTTTGGTATCTTTCAACATTTTCTTTCTTTTATTTCTTCTTGTCTTTTTACACGTTTGCTTCTTGTGACTGTTGGACCTGCCTGGATATTAAATACCCATTAGACTTCGTGCATATTGCTTTGGAGAGAATGGTAGAAATTGATGGAAGGGAATGAACGATTTCTGGGACTCTGAATTCTTACAGTTTGTTATTAGTATTGTTTTAAATCTTTTAATCACTTATGAACAAATAATGTAATCATTTATGGGCATATTTTAGCCCCCTTGTCCAACTGAAGGTAACCTCAAAGCAGCATTGTTTTGTAGTTTATTTTACAGTTCTCTTAATGCCTGTCCATGTTTAGCATTTTATTTGACTATTTGAACACATTGTGTAAAAGCGAATTGTTTTCATTTTAGTCCTTTAAAAAATATGATTGTTTTCATTTAAGTCCTTTTAAAAAATATGATTATCTTTATTATCCTGTTTGAATAATATGTGTTTTCCTTTGTGAAAGTAATATTTCCTATCCTGTCTATGTCTACCTGGTTCTCAGGTATTACTTTAATTACTGAATTCTCCTAAACATTTAATTGACTTTTACAAAATATCATAAATAGGAGGATTCTTTCCACCACCTAGCATTGTATTTGGCAATTTATCATTTAAGTCATTTTAGTTCTGTTTTTCTTCAACTCTCTGATATTTGAATTTGGGGTTGTGCTTTCACAGTGAGAAAGTCTAAACCTATTTCTTGTACATTAATACTTTTCACTATTCTAATTATGGTGATGCTTTTAGCTATTAAGAATTTCTGGGATTGAAATGTGTCAGAAGTTAGTTATTAAGTATTGTGGATTCTGAAGCTCTCTAAATCAAGTCCTCCCTTTACCAATTTTTGTATGTGTAGCCATTGGTAAAGGATTTGTTATTCAGTTCCTTGGCATTATATGTATGCATGATAAATGTGAATTCTACTTTATAGATTTATTTGTATCAAGTAAGTTAATAGTTATAAATTATTAATAATAAACTCTGGCAAGTGATAGGTACATAATAAAATTTAGTTATTACCATTCTTAAGAGAAAAGAAGTTAGTGATTGCAGAAAGGCAACCTAAAATGTCAGAAAGTCGTTATGGCCTTCCATATTAATCTTATTTTTGTGTAAAACTATCTTCTGTAAAGTCATTTTTTAGATTAACCTAGGATGTTTCAATATTTTGAATGTTGTGTGGTGGAATGAAAAAAATCTAAAAGTTATTACGAGTTTAGGAAAGTCAAGTTAACACCACCTATGTGGGAAAACAGTTTTTTGGAAAGGTTAAAGTCCTTCCAAGGAATGTGTAGACTATCTTACTTTGATAGTTGTATGTTTCCCATATTTAAAAGTTGCCTGAGATCCTGCAGAGGCCTGAGTAGGCGTTTGAGTTCTTTGTATGTATGAGATCTTTCCATTAATAGTATTTTTCTTAAAAAGAAGTATACAATAATGTTTTGATGATGATTTAAAGTCAATTTATGTTGTAGTTCTATGAATTAAGTAAACCATTTATGTAGAGTGTTGTAAATAGCCTTTTAAAGTGCTTTCTCTTTTTTCTTTTCTTTTCTTTCTTTCTTTTTTTTTTTTTTTTTTTGAGACGGAGTCTCGCTCTATCTCCCAGGCTGGAATGCAGTGGCGCAATCTCGGCTCACTGCAACCTCTGCCTCCCGGGTTCAAATGATTCTCCTTCCTCAGCCTCCCAAGTAGCTGGGATTACAGGTGCATGCCACCATGCCCTGCTAATTTTTTGTATTTTTAGTAGAGTCGGGGTTTCACCATGTTAGCCAGGATGGTCTCGATCTCCTGACCTCCTGATCCGCCCACTTCGGCCTCCTAAAGTGCTGGGATTACAGGCATGAGCCACCGCGCCCAGCCTAAAATGCTTTCTTAGCAAGTAGAGAAGATTGTAATAACCAGTCTTCATTAAACATTAAATAGGACCCTTACAGATCTCTAACAGCATATCATCATGTCAGGAATTATTACTGAGCCCCAGCCCCTGGCTTTAAAATTTGAGGTCAAATAAAGAATATGAGTCACACAATGCAAGGCAAGATAATGTAACAGGTACAAGAGGTAAATCAGAATGACGTTGAAGTTGAAAGACAATCATTTCCTATTTGAATTTTTGAAGAAATACTTGAAGGGGCATGGTGTGTTTCAGTGGTTTTAAAATAAGTAAGTTCCCCCCGGGAGAATATTGAGAATGATAGACATTTCTTGGAAAGAGAAAACATAAGGAAAGTTGAAGACACAGAAAGCATCAATATGACAAGTAGAAAAGTCCACTTTGGTTAAAACACACAGTCTGCAGAGAATGAAAGCAGGAAAACCAATGTAAGAAGATCTCTTGATTTCTGAGTAATAAACTAAAGGGCCATGAGTGATTAAGGAATTTGGCCACTCTTTAGAATTAATTGGGAGCTATTTAACTACCTTGAGCAAAATAAATCACGACTTTTGAAAGAAGGTTGAACGGGAAGACAAACTCAGAAGCTCCTGCAGTAATCAAGGACAGAAGCAATTGTTAAATGCACCTCTTAGGCTGTTATCAGTAGAAATACGAAATAAAAGATAAATATGCAAAAACATTAATGGCACAATAAACACTCACGGTTTTGCCTTTAGACTTGAGATACACTAAAATCTAGATTTAATTAATCGACTTGGACGTTGGAATAAGATAGTAAAACTCACAACAAAACTTTGTAGAACTTAGTCAGGAAAAGAATCTCAAGCATAGCTTTAAAAACAGAAATTGCCCCGAGTACTAAGGATGAGCAATAATGAAATTAAAACATATTGTAATAACATTACACAAACTATATTGGAGACTACAAAGAAGAGATTATTCATAGATTATAAAGCTTGGAAAGAATCAAAACAACACATTTCTGGAAACAGATTGTATAAATGCTACAAAAGAGAAAAATATATTTTCTCCCCACGCAACACAAGACCTTAAAGTCAATTCTCGCTTTTCTTGCAATATTTTATACCTTTTCAATTCATAGAATTACTCAAGAAAACTACCTCAGTTGGTTGCTACTTTTTGTTGATTCCTTTTACCAGACATGACTAAGTTTCTTTTTCATCAGTAGATTTCTGGGCTCCTATATTCACTAGAGATTGCAACTCCTGGATTTCTCTTACACTAGAATCCTATTTCGAGCCATATGGGAGATTCTGAATTCCAGAACAAAAGAATTTTGTAATTTAAAATTCGTGATTGCTCAATGGAATCATTTTAATTGTTACTTCATTTCTGTCGTTATTTAAAACTTAAGTGGAGAGTTTTCTCAGGGATAAGAAAACCACAATCAAGGTCATACAAAACTTTTAGAGGCAGTCAGTCTGCTAAGAAGGCTCCAGCAAGAGAAACGGGATCTTCTGTTTCAACAATCATTACTTAAGAAAAAATTAAGAAAATGAAATAAGTTTTGCAGAATAACTGTGAAATTTTTATTCATGAAATATGTACTTACACTTTGGGCCACGTGATGTCACTCTTTGCCGCGATGTTCTCTCTGAATCCAGACAAATACAGCCCTTTTCCCATGGGAAAGAGGCTCAATTCTTTTTCACTCTCTCTGTGCTGAACGATGGCGAACACAGCAGAATGGGACTGACGAAATCAGATGATTTCTTCTAATTTGGAGGCAATTTTCACTAATTAGAAGAAGACTGAGTATTTGAAATGTTATACTCAAGTCGAGGAGATCCAGAGGGTCAGCCTCTACTGCTCTCGCTTCTGATCCTCGCAATGTGGGTGGTGGGGAGCGGCCAGCTCCACTACTCCGTCCCGGAGGAAGCCGAACACGGCACCTTCGTGGGCCGCATCGCGCAGGACCTGGGGCTGGAGCTGGCGGAGCTGGTGCCGCGCCTGTTCCAGTTGGATTCCAAAGGCCGCGGGGACCTTCTGGAGGTAAATCTGCAGAATGGCATTTTGTTTGTGAATTCTCGGATCGACCGCGAGGAGCTGTGCGGGCGGAGCGCGGAGTGCAGCATCCACCTGGAGGTGATCGTAGACAGGCCGCTGCAGGTTTTCCATGTGGACGTGGAGGTGAAGGACATTAACGACAACCCTCCAGTGTTCCCAGCGACACAAAAGAATCTGTTCATCGCGGAATCCAGGCCGCTTGACTCTCGGTTTCCACTAGAGGGCGCGTCCGATGCAGATATCGGGGAGAACGCCCTGCTCACTTACAGACTGAGCCCCAATGAGTATTTCTTCCTGGACGTGCCAACCAGCAACCAGCAGGTAAAACCTCTTGGACTTGTATTACGGAAACTTTTAGACAGAGAAGAAACTCCGGAGCTTCATTTATTGCTCACGGCCACCGATGGAGGCAAACCCGAGCTGACTGGCACCGTTCAATTACTCATCACGGTACTGGACAACAATGACAATGCCCCAGTGTTCGACAGAACCCTGTATACGGTGAAATTACCAGAAAACGTTTCTATCGGAACGCTGGTGATTCACCCCAATGCCTCAGATTTAGACGAAGGCTTGAATGGGGATATTATTTACTCCTTCTCCAGTGATGTTTCTCCAGATATAAAATCCAAGTTCCACATGGACCCCTTAAGTGGGGCAATCACAGTGATAGGACATATGGATTTTGAAGAAAGTAGAGCACACAAGATCCCAGTCGAGGCTGTCGATAAAGGCTTCCCACCCCTGGCTGGTCATTGTACACTTCTTGTGGAAGTTGTGGATGTAAATGACAATGCTCCACAGTTGACTATCAAAACGCTCTCGGTTCCTGTAAAAGAGGACGCACAACTGGGGACAGTTATTGCCCTGATTAGTGTGATCGACCTAGACGCAGATGCCAACGGGCAGGTTACCTGCTCCCTGACGCCCCACGTCCCCTTCAAGCTGGTGTCCACCTACAAGAATTACTACTCGTTGGTGCTGGACAGAGCTCTGGACCGCGAGAGTGTGTCCGCCTACGAGCTGGTGGTTACCGCGCGGGACGGGGGCTCGCCTTCACTGTGGGCCACGGCCAGGGTGTCTGTGGAGGTGGCCGACGTGAACGACAACGCACCAGCGTTCGCGCAGTCCGAGTACACGGTGTTCGTGAAGGAGAACAACCCGCCGGGCTGCCACATCTTCACGGTGTCTGCGCGGGACGCTGACGCGCAGGAGAACGCCCTGGTGTCCTACTCGCTGGTGGAGCGGCGGTTGGGCGAGCGCTCGCTGTCGAGCTACGTGTCAGTGCACGCGGAGAGCGGCAAGGTGTACGCGCTGCAGCCGTTGGACCACGAGGAGCTGGAGCTGCTACAGTTCCAGGTGAGCGCGCGCGACGCGGGCGTGCCGCCTCTGGGCAGCAACGTGACGCTGCAGGTGTTCGTGCTGGACGAGAACGACAATGCGCCGGCGCTGCTGACACCTCGGATGAGGGGCACTGACGGCGCAGTGAGCGAGATGGTGCTGCGGTCGGTGGGCGCCGGCGTAGTGGTGGGGAAGGTGCGCGCAGTGGACGCCGACTCGGGCTACAACGCGTGGCTTTCATACGAGCTGCAGCCAGAAACGGCCAGCGCGAGCATCCCGTTCCGCGTGGGGCTGTACACGGGCGAGATCAGCACAACGCGTGCCCTGGACGAAACGGACGCACCGCGCCAGCGCCTACTGGTGCTGGTGAAAGACCACGGGGAGCCAGCGCTGACGGCCACGGCCACTGTGCTGGTGTCGCTGGTGGAGAGCGGCCAGGCGCCAAAGTCATCGTCGCGGGCGTCAGTGGGTGCCACGGGCCCCGAGGTGACGCTGGTGGATGTCAACGTGTACCTGATCATCGCCATCTGCGCGGTGTCTAGCCTGTTGGTTCTCACGCTGCTGCTGTACACTGTGCTGCGGTGCTCGGCGATGCCCACCGAGGGCGAGTGCGCGCCTGGCAAGCCGACGCTGGTGTGTTCTAGCGCGGTGGGGAGTTGGTCGTACTCGCAGCAGAGGAGGCAGAGGGTGTGCTCTGGCGAGGGTAAGCAGAAGACCGACCTCATGGCCTTCAGCCCGGGCCTTTCTCCTTGTGCTGGATCTACAGAGCGAACGGGAGAACCCTCTGCTTCCTCAGATTCAACTGGGAAGGTGGGTTTTTCTAGCATTTTATTTATTTATATAATTTTTTTTCTTGAAAGATATTATCGATTACTCCCAGGGGCCGTTCAAATAGTTTTATTCATTTTTCTAGAAATCCAGCAGATTTTTTTTCTGATAAAGTAAACCCCTTAACATTGGAGCCGACTTTGTCTTGACTTCTAGTGAGAATTATAAACTGTATATTAAATAGATATTTTTTGGGTGCTGAATCAATTTTATTTAAATTTGTGATTAAAGTGACATTGAATTTCTGATGCTATGCTGCCATAACACTTGAAAACCAATTTAGTTGTTAGTCATTCATTAAACATTAACATCACTATCATTTATTTATTGCTAAATGATGCATAGTATTTTAGTCTACTTGTATTGTTTATAAGAAACCCAAGCAAAAATATATAGCAATTGTTACCTTGTTAAGTTTGTAGTTCTCTACATTTCTCTGGATGGAGACTGTGAACATCTGATTGTTCAGCAACCTTCAGTATCTATTATTTTAATAAGAAAGAAACTTCCCCTAAACTTTAGAAAACAGTTGCTCCACTTTAGGAATCAAATTATGTCAATAAATGTTATAAACACAGCCTTCATTTCAACTTATATAAAATATGTTTTAAAATGCCTGACAATGTAGATAATTCAAGAAATGTTGACTGAAATTTTGTCTACACTTAGAACATTTTTTGAAATTCAGTTTACAGAAATTGGAGAAAATGCTTTTTAAACAAGTGTTTCCTTTCTTCAAGAAGACATTCTCCTTTTAATTGAAATTTTCTCCATTCAGTGATAAAATGATCAGCCATGTGAAGATTCGAAACTTCGAGTTCTTTTGAAATTCAGAGTCTGTAACTTAAAACATTACCCTTATGAATTTAGATGAGAATTCACTTGTTCTGTCAGTAATCCATAAGACAGAAATCTGTTTTTTTAAAAATATCTTTTTCTCCTCTCAGCTCATACATAACACAAGGCAGAAATCTGGATATGAGATTTGCCTCTTTAATGTCACTACATGTTATGTTTCCTGAATTGTAGTATGTGACTTTCAAAATGGTGGTTTTCCACACTCTACCTTTAGTGCAAGCTATTTGTTTGTTTTCTAATTTATAGTTTTAAAAACTTCGCTTATTGAGTTTTTGTTATGTGGTTTATATTTTTCTTTCTCTTTCAGCTATTTTATTTAATATTGTGTCAGATATTTTACAAGGTATGACCTAATTAAAAACTCAGTAGAGAAAGATCAGAATGGCCTTGAGAATAGAGCCACAAAAATAACTATGAAAATGCCAGTAACGTTTATTTAAAACAAAATATTTTAATTTTTAAATTTTCCCTTAAAACACACTTTTGGAATATGCTACAATATTACATGTTTTTTGTCTTTTTATTTTTCTGAGACGGAGTCGTTTTCTGCCACCCAGGCTGGAGTACAGTGGCATGATCTTGGCTCACTGCAACGTCTGCCTCCTGGGTTCAAGCAATTCTCCTGCCTCAGCCTCCTGAGTAGCTGGGATTATAGGCACATGCCACCGCGCCCAGCTAATTTTTGTATTTTTAGTAGAGATGGGGTTTCATCATGTTGGCCAGGTTGGTCTCGAACTCCTGACCTTGTGATGCTCCCACCTCGGCCTCCCAAAGTGCTGGGATTAAAGCTGTGAGCCACTGTGCCAAGGCTTTTTTATTTTTTTTTTTTGTCATTTTCTTTCAAAACTTGAGTGGTCTCTGAGCTCCTGTCATTAAACCTATCTATATCTGTCTATCAGCACAACTCACCTTGAATATAGTCTTATACTTTCAAGTATCTTTGTCTTTGCACGTTTTTCAAGTTTCATGTGCCATTTAAACTTGGACCCAGGTATCTGATTATTTGATGTGAATAGAGGGATGCTACAGATGTCATTTGTCTCCCGCCCTAAGTCCTCCAGTCTCCTTAGAGCTAGTACTTACTAAGCATTTACTATGTCATCAATAATCATAAAACGTATTTTTTTTTTTGAGTCAGAGTCTCGCTCTGTTGCCCAGGCTGGAGTGCAGTGGTGCCATCTTGGCTCACTCCAAGCTCCCCCTCCCGTGTTCACGCCATTCTCCTGCCTCAGCCTCCCGAGTAGCTGGGACTACAGGCGCCTGCCACCATGCCCGCCTAATTTTTTTGTATTTTTAGTAGAGATGGGGTTTCACCGTGTTAGTCAGGATGGTCTCGATCTCCTGACCTCATGATCCTCCCGCCTCAGCCTCCCAAAATGCTGGGATTACAGGCGTGAGCCACCGCGCCTGGCCTAAAATGTGTTCTTTATTATTGACGGCTGTATTGATGGGATTGGTAATTTAGTCCTTCATATTAATCTCTATTCTCTCTCAGAGTACAAGCTCTCATCATATGCAAATTCTCAGAAGGGCTGTGAACACCTTAGTAATAAATTTATCTTTTGAGGTCATTAGCAAACATGAACTCACAGGGATCCAGAGATGGTAAAATTCAAAACAGCCTGTCAAGTTCAAAACAGAGAGGTGAAAGCAGAAGAGACACTTTCCTATTTTGCCTAATAGGTCTCCTTATATGCATCTGTAGTTAACATTCCTCAATTCAAGTTAGAATCATGAAACAATAATGAAGCTCCTCCTATGTCTCTTTTCAAGTTGTAATTACTATATAGGAAAAACTAAGTTGTCACCCAATATCTTAGACACTTTGAGAGCAAAGGGGGTGCTGTAAATAAGTATACAAGATCACAGACCTAAATTGAGCCTGTTCCAGACAAATTGGGGCCTATGGTCAACCTATCCTTAGACCTGCTAACGCATTAGCATTAGCAGCACCTAAGTCCTCATTGAATGTTCTGGTTCAAGGCTCCACCTCAGAAATTCTGAAATGGGTAGTAAGAGCAAATTTTCATTTTAAAGCACACCTGAGATGATTCTCATACAACCGAAATTTTAGATCCATAGCCCTATTTGATACTTGACAGTGCAAGTTTCTGTAATTTAAAAAGATGTGGTGGCCTGACACCTGCAATCCCAACATTTTGGGAGGCCAAGGTGGGAGGGTCCCTTCCTTGAGCCCAGCAGTTTGAGACCAATGTAGTGAGACTCATCTCTGCCAAAAAAAAAAAATTAGCCGGGCATGGTGGCACACATCTCTAGTCCCAATTACTCAGGAGGCTGAGGCGAGAGAATCGCTTGAGCCTGGGACATTGAGGCTGCAGTGAACTGTGATGGCACAACTGCATTTCAGCCCGGGTGACAGCAAGATTCTGTCTCAAAAAAAAAAAAAAAAAGAGTAGTTTAACTACTCCCTACTTTTTATTCAATATTGGACATCTACATTGGGATATTTATGTTATCACTTGGTATAAAATGTACATTAGTAGAAATTGAGTTTAGTTTTTATTATTTTGTGCGTGGAGATGATTGATCAATGGCAAACTTATTTTACGCTCCAGATAGCTAAAACAAACGTTGATATTTTGATACATAACTCATTACATTTTAATTCAGGGTTTATAAAAAAGTAATCTCTAAAATCAGAATTTGAATGAATTTTGATGCAAGAGGCATTCCAGAGGAGTAGAGAAGTATAGAAACAGAATTTAGTAGGACACATAAACTGATGGATTAAGTGACACCCATTTCTGTCAGTTTTCTTATTCATAAATATTGTTGCTCTGTCATTCAGATTTTAATAAAAAAAGTTTAAAGTAATTGACACATTTAAAAATATTCTTTAGAAAAGTCAAAACATCATTAAATAAAATAAATTAACCCTTGCATAAGACCAATATGTCTGTTGTTAAGTTTTCCTTTCTTGGAAAGACAGAAAACTCAAGTTTTTTTCAGCAGCACAGATATATTACATTTTCATTCCTGAATATTTGATTTCAAGAACTTTGAGAGAGAAAAAAATATTTTTACTGCAAGTGGTGATGAAAAACTTCACTGACATTGATAAAATTACTAGATATATTTCAGAACTGTGTCTTTTGGGCATTTGAAAAGCGTAAATATAACAGGGTTGAAAGCATTTGCCTCTGAAAGCAGAAATAATAAATTTCTTAATTACTTTATTCAGAATTATAATTAAGATTCTTTTTGCCCGTGTAAGATATTATAAAATGAAACTTCTTGTATAAAGGATTTTTCTGTAATAGTACTTTTCTGTTTTCTTAAATACAGAAACCACCACTCTCAGCCTGTGCAGTAGCAATAATTAAGGCATTCTATAGGTAATAATTTTGCCTGATGAGCCAAATTTGGTATTGAGCCTCATGAAAACAAATGTGGCCAAATTGAGGCCTGAGAATAGTTTCCATTTATGAAGCACTCATTCTCCTTAAGGTACTATTGCAAGCACTTACTATATTATAATTCACTCAACCACCGTATTACTATTAGGCCAAAGTTATAAAATTGGAACATGAGGGAGGGAGAGGTTAAACGATTTTCCCAAGTCATGTGGCTAGTGAGTAGGATAATAGGAATCTAAATGGAGAAATGTCTGATGTTGAAGCTAATGATCTCTAAATTCTAGTGATGACTAGATCTTCGGAGTTATAAACACCTCACAGATAGTTGATGCTTGACATTAGTGTCTAAATAAACCTTATTAAATCTCAAAATAATGAGAAAGAGAAGTAAGTTAAGTGTCAGAACTTAAATGGAACTAAAGTTGTCATTTAATAAAATATTAGTATACTCAGTAGTATGCAAATATTAAGGGCATTTTGAAATTCGGCTATTGATAATCATGTGGTTAGGGAAGAAATCACTACTCTGAGAGTCTACATTTAAGAAAACATTGCACGTGGGATCAACATTTATTGTTATTAACTATAAAGAGACGTAATGTGAGGCTTTGAAAGTCCATAGACATAAAAATACGTAAAAAAAGAATTAACATATGAATGAAAGAAAAGTTGTGAACTCATGGAATCGTACTTACACCTAAAGCCACCGGATGTCGCTGTCGTCCACAAAATAGCTTTTTAGAACAAAGGCATCAGCCAGTTTCTCAAGGACTAGGAAGTAGCGTCATTCTGAGATCTCAGCCATTTCGATAAAAAATAGATATAAGAAATAGGACAGAAAATGTCAGATCGTATGTGCGTTCTAGACCGCTGATTCGTCGATTTGTAAAACAAGAGAAGGATAAGATGGTTTCCAGATGTAGCTGCCTGGGGGTCCAGTGTCTGCTGCTCTCGCTTCTTCTCCTCGCAGCCTGGGAGGTGGGGAGCGGCCAGCTCCACTACTCAGTCTACGAGGAGGCCAGACACGGCACCTTCGTGGGCCGCATCGCGCAGGACCTGGGGCTGGAGCTGGCGGAGCTGGTGCAGCGCCTGTTCCGGGTGGCGTCCAAAAGACACGGGGACCTTCTGGAGGTAAATCTGCAGAATGGCATTTTGTTTGTGAATTCTCGGATTGACCGCGAGGAGCTGTGCGGGCGGAGCGTGGAGTGCAGCATCCACCTGGAGGTGATCGTGGACAGGCCGCTGCAGGTTTTCCATGTGGACGTGGAAGTGAAGGACATTAACGACAACCCGCCCAGGTTCTCCGTAACAGAACAAAAGCTCTCAATACCTGAATCCAGACTGCTTGACTCTCGATTTCCACTAGAAGGCGCATCTGATGCGGATGTTGGAGAGAACGCATTGCTTACTTACAAACTCAGTCCAAATGAGTATTTTGTTCTTGATATTATAAACAAAAAAGACAAAGACAAATTCCCAGTGCTTGTTCTGCGGAAGCTGCTGGATCGTGAAGAAAATCCTCAGCTAAAGTTGTTGTTGACAGCAACTGATGGAGGCAAACCTGAATTTACCGGATCTGTTTCTCTGCTGATCCTGGTGTTAGATGCCAATGATAACGCCCCTATCTTTGACAGACCGGTTTATGAAGTTAAGATGTATGAAAATCAAGTGAACCAAACATTAGTAATACGGCTCAACGCTTCTGATTCGGATGAAGGAATAAACAAGGAAATGATGTATTCATTTAGCTCTTTGGTCCCACCCACGATAAGAAGGAAATTTTGGATAAACGAAAGGACGGGAGAAATAAAAGTAAATGATGCTATTGACTTTGAGGACAGTAACACTTATGAAATTCATGTAGATGTTACAGATAAGGGAAACCCACCTATGGTTGGTCACTGCACGGTCCTAGTGGAACTACTGGATGAAAATGATAATTCACCTGAGGTGATTGTCACTTCTCTGTCTCTCCCAGTGAAAGAAGATGCTCAAGTGGGCACCGTCATTGCCCTAATCAGCGTTTCTGACCATGATTCAGGAGCCAACGGACAGGTCACCTGCTCTCTGACGCCTCACGTTCCGTTCAAGCTGGTGTCCACCTACAAGAATTACTACTCATTGGTGCTGGACAGCGCTCTGGACCGCGAGAGGGTGTCGGCCTATGAGCTGGTGGTGACCGCGCGGGACGGGGGCTCGCCTCCGCTGTGGGCCACGGCCAGCGTGTCTGTGGAGGTGGCCGACGTGAACGACAACGCGCCTGCGTTCGCGCAGTCCGAGTACACGGTGTTCGTGAAGGAGAACAACCCGCCAGGCTGCCACATCTTCACGGTGTCTGCGTGGGACGCGGACGCGCAGGAGAACGCCCTGGTGTCCTACTCTCTGGTGGAGCGGCGGTTGGGCGAGCGCTCGCTGTCGAGCTACGTGTCGGTGCACGCGGAGAGCGGCAAGGTGTACGCGCTGCAGCCGCTGGACCACGAGGAGCTGGAGCTGCTACAGTTCCAGGTGAGCGCGCGCGATGGGGGCGTGCCGCCTCTGGGCAGCAACTTGACGCTGCAGGTGTTCGTGCTGGACGAGAACGACAACGCTCCCGCGCTGCTGGCGTCTCCCGCTGGCAGCGCGGGCGGTGCAGTCAGTGAGCTGGTGCTGCGGTCGGTGGTTGCGGGTCACGTGGTGGCTAAGGTGCGCGCAGTGGACGCTGACTCTGGATACAACGCGTGGCTGTCGTATGAATTGCAGTCGGCGGCGGTTGGTGCACGCATCCCGTTTCGCGTGGGGCTGTACACGGGCGAGATCAGTACGACGCGCGCTCTGGATGAGACTGACTCGCCACGCCAGCGCCTACTGGTGCTGGTGAAGGACCATGGCGAGCCGTCGCTGACGGCCACGGCCACTGTGCTTGTGTCGCTTGTGGAGGGCAGCCAGGCACCCAAGGCCTCGTCGCGGGCTTCAGTGGGCGTGGCGCCCGAGGTGGCCCTGGTGGATGTCAACGTGTACCTGATCATCGCCATCTGCGCGGTGTCCAGCTTGCTGGTGCTCACGCTGCTGCTGTACACTGCACTGAGGTGCTCGGCGGCGCCCACCGAGGGCGCATGTGGGCCGGTGAAGCCCACGCTGGTGTGCTCTAGCGCGGTGGGGAGCTGGTCTTACTCGCAGCAGAGGCGGCAGAGGGTGTGTTCTGGGGAGGGCCTGCCCAAGGCGGACCTCATGGCCTTCAGCCCCAGCCTTCCACCATGCCCAATGGTAGATGTGGACGGGGAAGATCAGTCTATTGGAGGGGACCACTCTAGGAAGGTGGGTTATTACGTTTTCATTTTCCTTTTGTGCTTTATGAATAATATTTTCTCTTACCGCATTTTCTCAAATATGTATCAGAATATTTCATTTTTGTCTACATTCCATTTATGCTTGAATATTTCTAGTGATACCTTTGTAATATAATTTATTCCAGGAGTTTTAAAATTTTTTTATCCTACCCAGTGTGTCAGCCTTTGATTGGTACTTAAATTTTTTTAAATAACAATTTATTCTGAATACACTAATATTTTCCAATACAAATATGTGATATAGGTTGCAGTTCTGACGATTTACTTTCATAATCACTTTTCGTTACAAATATTTGTGAGATTAGTACTTCATGTTATTTCATTTCCAATCTAAATTTTGATTTGATTGTATTTGCATTACCAAAAAATTCCACTGATCTATATCTCTTCAGTGAAAATGTGTTTTCCTCCATGTGTAGAATATGTGTAGCGTACCACAGCTTATACTGCCATAGTAGATTTCAATGTTCAGTGATTACAGCTTTTTCTCAATAGTGCAGTAAGTAGGTGGGCAGTTCATTGGTAAAAATTTCTTAATCTTAGCAATTAAGTTAAATGCTTTGAACTTTAAAAACGTTTTCCATTTTTATTTTAGTTGTAGTGGTACCTGTGTCAGTGTGTATTATTCACTTAGCAGAAGAAAATGTATGTTTCTTTTATTTACATAATTTTATCCAGTAGCTCTTCATTATCTGCTCCTTTATCAGCATTAGGCATTGCTTATGATATTCAGGTATTAGCTCTTTCACTTTAAGGAAGGAGTCATGCTTATGTTTAATAATGAAGAGAATTTGAACACTTTTTACTTTTGAGACTGAAAATACTTTAGTATGAATTAATATTAAAAGTTTGAGGAGAAAATAAAATTAATGTTTTCTACTGATCTGATATATTGTATAGTTTAATAGCTTCTCTAGTCATCTTAAACAGGGTTGGGTTAGATGATATAGACTCAGAAATGAAAGCTAACTTAGTTGCAGAGTGACAAAACTACACTATCAATTGTGTTTTCCTGAAATTGGTTGTTACCTGATACCCATGATTTCATTTTTAAAAAAAATTTATTAATTCTAGTGTTACCAAACACCAATGCCATGAATTTGTCATCTTGCCTATGGCTCTTAGCAATTACTTTTTTCTTTCCTTTCTCTTTGAGTATGGAGATTGAATTTGTTACTCAGTACGTGCTTCACAAATAGCTTCAAATAAAATTAAAATTATTGTTCAAGTTTAGGAACACCAAAAAAAAATTGTGGCAAGAATTTAAGCATGGCATTCTTTCAGTGTTAATACTCTCCATGCCCTGTCTCCAGCTCTTAGAAATTATAGATGCTAAGTTAATGCAGAGTTTAGAAGTGTATTTGTTATTTTATCAAATAGGTTTATGAAATATATACTTCCCCCTCTGATATTTTGAAAAAAAATCTTCCTTAATGTCTTATATTATAAGTAATATAAAAAACTTAGTAAAAACTCATATCAATTGTAAAAGTCTCAGGTATACAAGTGCATTAATCTCTCCATCAATACTAACTTAAGGCCAGGCATGGTGGCTCACACCTGTAATCCCAGCATTTTGAGAGGCCAAGGTGGGAGGATGGTTTGAGGCCAGGAGTTCAAGACCAACCTGGGCGACATAGGGATATCTTGTACTGTGTGTGTGTGTATATATATGTATATATGTGTATATATATATGTATATATATATGATGGGCTCTCCTTACATATATATCTATATATGTACTTATGTATATATAAGCCAGGCATGGTGGTACATGCCTTTAGTCCCTACTGTAGTGCTACTTGGGAGGGTGAGGTGGGAGGACGGCTTGAGCCTGGGAAGTTGAGGCTGCAGTGACCCATGATTGTGCCACTGCACTCCAGCCTGGATGACAAAGTG
Source organism: Homo sapiens (assembly GCF_000001405.40). Classification (NCBI taxonomy): domain Eukaryota; kingdom Metazoa; phylum Chordata; class Mammalia; order Primates; family Hominidae; genus Homo; species Homo sapiens. Next base: position 95,545 of record NW_025791778.1, read on the forward strand.
AGACCCTATTTCAAAAATTGAAAAAAGCAAAAGCAATAGTAACACCATTATCCTGCAAATATGATCTTTTTCATATTAATTCACGTGATAATACAGTTGGTGCAGTAGTACTTTATTTAGGATGTCTACATACAAGATAAAACTCTTCATGGAATTCTGATTTGTAAGACAAACCCACCTTTGAAGAGGTACTGATCATACACAAGAAGGTATAGGAAAGGAGTTGGAAGCTCACAAAGAGAAACATAAACATATGCAGGAATCAGGAACGAAGAAGATAAGTGAAATAATATGAAATCAAATGCACTTATGTTTTGAGCGACAGGATATTGTTGTTCTCCATGAAAAGTTTTTTTGGTTTTTTTGTTTTTTATTTTTTATTTTTTTGAGACGGAGTCTCGCTCTGTTGCCCAGGCTGGAGTGCAGTGGCACGATCTCGGCTCACTGCAAGCTCCGCCTCCCAGGTTCACGCTATTCTCCTGCCTCAGCCTCCGGAGTAGCTGGGACTACAGGTGCCCGCCAACACGCCAGGCTAATTTTTTGTATTTTTAGTAGAGACGAGGTTTCACCGTGTTAGCCAGGATGGTCTAGATCTCCTGACCTCGTGATCCACCGGCCTCGGCTTCCCAAAGTGCTGGCCGAGTGCCACCGCACCCGGCCGAAAGGTATTTTTTTTAACAGAAGAAAATCAGATTATTCCTAGATCAGAAAGAAGCTCCATTGTTCCTGTACTTTAAAAACTACAAACACCCATTAAGACCACTTGGAACCTCAGGAACAAGGACCAAAAGGTCTCAGAGGAACTAAGTCTTTCTAGTCATGAAATATTGTTTTACTAACCAAAAGAGAGGCATAATTTTAGCTGCTAGACAAAGTGGCCAGGAATCCCGGAGCCTACAGCACTGGCTTCTGCTCCTTGAATTTTGTGAAGCGGGAAAGGACCAGTTCCACTACACCATCCTGGAAGAGGCCAAGGACGGCACATAGCGTCTTCGCGGTCCCTATTGCGCAGGACCTGGGTCTGGAGCTTGTGGAGCTGATACCGCGCCTGTTTCAGTTGGATTCCAAAAGCCGCAGAAACCTTCTGGAGGTAAATCTGCAGAATGGCATTTTTGTGAGTTCTCTGATAGACCTCGAGGAGCTGTGTGGGAGGATCTCGGAGTGCAGCATCCACCTGGAAGTGATCGTGGACAAGCTGCTACAGGTTTTCCATGTGGAGGTGAAAGTGAAGAACAATAAAGACAACCTGCCAGTGTTCTCAGCAACACAAAAGAATCTGTTTCTGAAACGAGAGCTCTTGATTATCGTGTTTCACTAGAGGGTGTCTGTGATGCCGACGTCGGGGCCAATGCTCTGATGACTTACATACTGTGCCGCAATGATTATTTTTCCCTGGAAATACCAAGAGCAGGTAAAACCACTTGAAGGTGTATTTTAAAAATTCTTTCAGATAGGTAAGTCACTTCAGAGCTACTCTTGGTGCTCAAAGCAACTGATGGGGGCGAAGCTGAGCTGACAGGCACCAAAGCATTATATATCACAGCGCTGGATGTAAATGATGATGCCCAGTGTTTGACAAAGGAGTCTATCATGTGAAATTACTGGAAAATGCAAGAGAAGGTACACTGGTTATTAGACTTAACCCCTTGGATTTTGACGAGGGTTCAAACCGTCACATTGTTTCTTTGCAACTGATGTCTCCCCTAACATAGAAGCCCTTTTTCGCATAGATTCAGACAGTGGATAAATAAATGTAAAGATAGGTTTTGAGGAAACTAAATAATGAAAGATTCAAATACAGGCAGTTGACACAGGCAATTCCCCAATGTTTGATCACTGCACAGACTTGATAGAAGTCTTGGACATCAATGATAGTGTTCCAGAGTTAGCAGTAAGTCACTATCATTCCCTGTACAGGAGGACGCTCCACTGGGTACCGTCATAGCCCTAATCAGTGTAATTGACCCTAACTTCAGTGCCAAGGGACAGACGACCCGCACCCTGACTCCTCACGTCTCTTCAAGCTGGTGTCTACCTTCAAAAGGCGCTGCCCAGAAACTATTCGTTGGTACTCCACAGCGCCCTGGACCAAGAGAGCAAATCTATCCATTGTTGGTAATCGCTCGGAATGGGGACTCGCTTTCATTGTTGGCCACAGCCATCGGGTCCGTGGAAGTGGCCGAACAGTGAACCACAATGCCCTGGCGTTCCAGCAGCCCGAGTACATGGTGTTCGTGAAAGGTAACAACCCGCGGGGCTGCCACGACTTCACAGTGTCCGCGCGGGACCGGGACGCGCAGGAGAACGTGCTGGTGTCCTACTCGTTGATGGAACAGCGGGTGGGCGAGTGCGCGCTGTCTAGCTATGTGTGGGTGCACGCGGAGAGCGGCAAGAGGTACGCGTTGCAGCCACTGGACTACGAGGAGCTGGAGCTGCTGCAGTTCTAGGTGAGAGCGCGCGACGCGGGCATGCCGCCTCTGAGCAGCAATGTGACGCTGCCAGGTATTAGTGCTGGAACGACAACTTTGTCTGCGCTGCTGGCGCCTTGGGTGGGCTGGCGGCGCTGTGAGTGAGCTGGTGCGGTATTCAGTGGATGCAGGCCACTTGGTGGCGAAGGTGCGCACGGTGGACTCCAGCTATGACGCCTGGTTGTCGCAACAGCTGCATCTGTCAGCTGGCAGCACCCGTTCCACGTGGGGCTCTGCACGGGCGAGATCAGCACGACGAGTACCCTGGACGAGGCGAAAGCTACGCGCCACCGCCTGCTGGTGCTGGTGAAGGACCACTGCGAGCTGGCGCTGACTGCCACCGTCACCGTGGTGGCGTCGCTGGCGGAGAGCAGCCAAGCGAGGAAGGTCCCATCGCGGGCTTTGGCGGGCGTCGAGGTCCGGGAGGCAGCGCTGGTGGATGTCAACGTGTACCTGATCATCGCCATCTGCGTGGTGTCCAGCCTGTTAGTGCTCACGTTGCTGCTGTACACGACGCTGCGGTGCTTGGCGCAGCTCACCGAGAGCTCGTGCATGCCGGGCAAGCCCACGCTGGTGTACCGCAGCGTAGTGGGATCTGGTCTTACTCGCAGCAAAGGAGATTTTACTCTGGAGAGTCGCCTCCCAAGGTCAACATTACGGCTTTTAGTCCTAGTGTTCTCCCATGGTTCAGATTTTGGAGATGGACTTCAATAGGAAATTTTTGAGAATATAAGTACTGTAATCCTGGAAAGTATTTCATTCCTATTAATGTCCCTCATAGTGACATTGATAATGTTCACCAAGTTATTAATTTGATTGCTTTATTTATTTTGCTTTTGCTTTTTCTTTTGAGATGCTTTATTTAAAGTACACTGGGGCCGGGTGCGGTAGCTCATGCCTATTTGTAATCCCGGCACTTTGGGAAGCCGAGGCGGGCGGATCACTCGAGGCCAGGAGTTTGAGACCAGCCTGGCCAACATGGTGAAACTCCATCTCTACTAAAGATATAAAAAAATTAGCTGGGTGTGGTGGTGCGCACCTGTAATCCCAGCTACTCAGGAGGCTGAGGCACAAGAATTGCTTGAACCTAGGAGGCAGAGGTTGCGGTGAGCCTAGATTAGGCCACTGCACTACAGCCTGGGAGACAGGGTGAAACTCTGTCTTAAAAAAAAAAGTACATTGGAAGTCTAGCCATCTTAATCACTTTTTACTACAGTCACCATGAACATTCTTTAGGAATATTCTTCAGTTGATAAGTATAATGATAATAGTAATAATGAATTAGACTGAGTGGCTGTTTCCTGTAAATGAGAAAGTTAAATCTTACCGGAAGGATCATGATGAATAATGATCCTTATGAGAAGGTCAAATCTTCTCAATTTTGAAGCAAGTTCTTTATTCCTATTCATTTTCTTATTCTGATTTGTGTCCTCCATTCCTTATTGTTTTTATGTATTCAAAAATACCATGACAATATTTAATATCATAATTATTTGAGTTTAAAACATGTTTAAATGTTTATCTTTCTATAATCGATAAGTTTATCTCTCACAAATGGTGATGAGCAGGGTTGAGGCAGCTTCGTCCACAAACAATTTTGTTTCTTCATGATCAATATCCATCTTTTTTGAGATGTTGATTGCAGTGGGTGGAATTTTAGCCTTGCCTTTAAAGGTGATTTTACTTCTTAATTTTTGTCTTCAATCTTCTTATAATTTCATTTTAGGTCATTGTCTTCACAATCTTCAACTACTTCAGATAGCCAACAACTTTGTTCTTTTTTAAAAAGAAAACAAAACAAAACAATGTCAGCTCTACTTAATTACCTGTTGACTTAATTGCTGCTGTCCTCCAGTTTAAGTTGTTGAGCTCTTCTACTATTTTGGGAAGATTTCTTTGAGCACCGATTATACTCATTTTTCTTTCATTTTTGGTACCTGGCTGTATGAAAATATTTTAGGGTAGGAAAATTCACACTTATTTGGGCTTTAAGTATAAGAGAGTCTTCCCATACATGATGAAGGGTGATACCATTGTCTGTGTTCATTAAGCTGCATGGTCTTCAGAATGGCATTGCTGAGCTTGGCAGGGTGTCTCAGGCCTGTAATCCCAGCATTTTGGGAAGCCGAGGGAGGAGGATCGCTTGAGACCAGGAGTTTGAGACCAGCCTCGGCAACATAGTGAGACCCCCATCTCTACCAAAAAATGTCATTGTTTTTAATAACTTAAGTATAAGAACCATGGGATATTAATAAAGGCACTTCCACTTGACAATTGTGGTGTTAATTATACCTTAGAATTTAACATTGTATACTTTTGATATATTTGATGCAAAATATTTTTTGCCTTCACACCATATTAATGTGAATTGCTTTCTTTAAAGGGATCCCAGAGAACACGTATTTATAGCTGTAAGGATGTGTATCAAATTATATGTAAAATTACTTTGCTCTTTTTGGCTCTAATTACAAATGAGATGGCCTTTAATTCTGTGTAAAGAAATAGTATATTTACATATTGCAGGATAACCATGTTATAGGTAGGGTAAAGTTAATATAAATGCTGAAAAGGAATTAGTAGTGTCTACCTAGAAAAATAACTTCTGAGAAGATGATTTCTATGAAGATAAACATTAAGGAAATCTTCAGAAAAGGGAAAACCCTGTCCTACTTTATGGTGCTGGAATTCTCTTCATCCATAGCTATAGGACAAGAGCCAATATTGATCAGTAACTCATGATAATAAATCACCATTGTTTGAGCAGTTTATTAATATATTTGTTAGACATCATGAAGGGACTTAAATACATTATTTCATTTAATACTTATAACAATTTCTAAAGTACATATGACTGTTCCAATTTGAAAGATAAAATAAGAGAAGCTGAGATGTGTATCTATTTTATCCAGTGCCAGTACATGGTGGAGATATTATTCAAATGTGTATCTTTCAGGCTTCAGACTCATTCTTTTATCCACTATAATGTAGAGCTTTCTTTAGTAAGTCATTTCTCTGCTCAAACATGGTCTCGGCTAGGAAAATCAAGCACAAATTGTGTACAGGCAAATCTTTCTTTCTGTTGTGCTTAGAAGAAACTTCATGATTGTCTTCATCATTAATTTTGTACAATGTGTGATTGAGATGGCACTAAGTTTTTTTATGTTAAGTGATTTTTTTCTTGTAAGAGTTCGTGATCATCATTATCATTTGTTTTAATCAATGCCACACTGAGATAGGTATTTTGGTTATGTAATTGTTAAGTAATTAAGAGTTGCCTTATAAGAACTACGTATCTGTTGTTTGGAAGTGATATAAGTAAGAATCGTTTAACATGTAAGAAAAGTCAGAAAACTGTGGTTTCCAATATCCTTGTGGAACACCTAAACTAAATACTATATACCAAAAATGACACCCTTCTTTCTTTACTGTGAATAAAGACAGTGTTTGGGACAAGTATAGATGTTGATATTATTATTTCAGGGACCCTGAACTTGGCCAAAGGATTCAAGAAATGTTTACAATATTGCATACTTCAATAACAATTTTAAAGACATAGATTCCCATGAAAATCTTCAAATGTGTGTAGGTCTTTCAGTCTTCTTCAGTCTTATTGTTGGCTGGGAAGCTCATAACAACTGACAAATGATTTGTGACCAAATAACTGTTTTTACTTGACTAAGCCATGATAGAGCAGAATTAGCATCACGGAATAAATCCTATAATTTTGTTAATACAGTGGTTGGATAATGTAATTCTAATCTGTTGGTTTTGGAGAACCTCCTGGGGTTCTGACAACGGTGTCAAAATTTATTTATGTGTTTTCAAGAAATAATAGCACTAGGTCTGTTAGAATATCAGTGGATGACGTGCACTAGTAAGACATTAAACTATGCACTCTAATACTTATATGACTAACAGGACATACAGGCAGATTGTATGTCCTGACTGATATAGTAAAAGTCAGGCACAAAGTTCCTTAATCTTCAATTGATTTTACAAAATCAGTTAACAATAACTGTATTGAAATGACTTCTTGGTATTAGCCTATACCCAGATATTAGGCTGATCCTCAAAGATGAGTTCAAAGGGCGCATAATCTCTTCACTAGGGGCTGGTTGAGATGGTGACATCTGAAATATCACAGCCAAAATGCAAAAGATGGGTCATTGATTCATACACTATATCAAACTCTTTTATGACTTGGCGTTTGTTCAGTACTACTTTATATATTCACAAAATACTGTATTGTTGGAAATTAACACCTAAATTAACATATTGTTTTAATTCAAATATGTGATATTATCATTTTTCCAGAGTAAACCTTCTAAGGTTCATTTCCCTACCTCGCAAGACTCCACATTCCATGTAACATCTTCATCCCCAATTCCCATAATAAGGTGATTGAGGATCTGTTGTTTCCTTTTGTTCAAAATAAACCTGATGTGCTTCAAATATCATGTTGAATATACTGTCATCTGGTCTAATGTTATGTTTTGATTAGAGGCTACTATGATTGATTATTTTACAGATGCGTAATGGAATTAACGGTTATAAAAGTTGATATGTCTCCTTTAATTTTTTAATACAGAATTTTGCATTTACCTGAATTAGAGTTCTAGTGTTATGACAACATTGGGAAAAGAGTAAATATGAAAAAAGTAGAACAAAATCTCAAATTAATAGTTGAATATATATATAAAATATTAGCATACACATATGATAACTTTTTCATATGCCCTTGCAGTATTTTTAGATTGGAGATAAACCATCAAAACTATAGAACAAAATATTTAAGCTAGAGTGATATTTATTCTAAATCACTTTCTACTCTAAAATTTTGTTGCATCTTCTTTTTTTCCTCCTAAATCCTAAGGGTATATGAAAAGACAAAGAAAATTCAAGCAAGTTACAACTTCAGGCAAAGAAAACTCTCATAAGCAATTCCTGTATTTTACTTAGCATTTTCTATGAAATTCCATTTCCACAAGCACTAAGGTAATTTACCATTTAGTTGAATTGTTTGATTAATTTTCTATGTTTTAAGCACAATATCAGGTACTTACAGAAGGTATAATTAAAAATCACTTCCCTTGTTTTCCATGAACTTCTGCTCCCAAACCCAAAATTCTTTCAACAAGAAACAAACTATTTTCATGAATATAACTGAATTAGATTAAGGAAACCAATGTTGGTGACTTGGAAATACCAATATGGCACAAAGATGTTCAGGGTGATTTTATTTATTTTATAAAATGATAATAAAATTTATTTTATAGTTGAAAAGCCTATTTCTGTCATATCATTGATTCTGTTACATAAAGTGCTAAATTTTGATATCTCATATTATGCTACTATGGCTTACATTAGAAATAATATATGTCAAATAAAAACTCATCTAGATCAATAGACTTTTCCTTTGTGGATTCTTTTTTAAAACTACCAAGTTTGAGAATATGAATATATTTGTTTTTCATATTGTTCTGCAATGAATATAAAGTCACTTATAATCAGAAAGCAATTAAATGTAAATAACAGTAAAGAATGAGAACTATAGAAAATAGATATGAAAATGCAAGCCCACAGAGATGAGAATAGATCATGTGGAACATAAACACTAAAGAGCTGCTTTTATAAAACTTCAATTTTTTCTTTGAGTTCCCTAGCAGCCAAAGTAACAAGGGAGACTGAAAGTAAAACAATTCAAATTTGATAGTATTTTTATATGAGGAACAACACTTTCAGGAAATGTTTAACCCTAGTTTTTCATGAGGCCACCTTAACAACTGAATTCTCTTTCTCTCTCACTCTGTGTATAAGTATTTTAGATAAGTAAAAGAACAATGTTATAATGTTAAGTCAAACATAGACACAATAATTTAAATTTGATGTTAATCGAGAAATACAATGCCATTTCCATATATATTTAGTTTCAATATGACTTATAATCTGAATATTCCATAAATAAGCACGTTGGAAATATTTGGGGGAAGAAACCCAAAACACGTGAAATTCTGTGGTGGTAAATGCAGTGCACAGTACTCACAGTTTTAGGCGCAAGGTGTCGCTCTTTACTTGGTGGAAAGTTCATTTAAAGGTTGGTCTGAACAGTGAGGCACTCCCATACAAAGGAACTCCATCATACCGGATGCCACCGTTTAAGGATCCTTTGAAACTTCTTAAGAATTCAACGAGATTTTTAACCTGAAACTGAAGAATCTGGTACTGTAAGTGTAAAGAAGCTTATTTTGGAAGCCAATTTCGTATGCGATGTTTGGTTTTCAGAGAAGGGGATTGGGCACCCCACGACTACAGCTCTGGCTTCTCCTCCTCGAATTCTGGGAGGTGGGGAGCGGCCAGCTCCACTACTCCGTCTCGGAGGAGGCCAAACACGGCACCTTCGTGGGCCGCATCGCGCAGGACCTGGGGCTGGAGCTGGCGGAGCTGGTGCAGCGCCTGTTCCGGGTGGCGTCCAAAACACATGGGGACCTTCTGGAGGTAAATCTGCAGAATGGCATTTTGTTTGTGAATTCTCGGATCGACCGCGAGGAGCTGTGCGGGCAGAGCGCGGAGTGCAGCATCCACCTGGAGGTGATCGTGGACAGGCCGCTGCAGGTTTTCCATGTGAACGTGGAGGTGAAGGACATTAACGACAACCCGCCGGTGTTCTCGCTCAGAGAACAAAAGCTGCTGATTGCGGAATCTAAGCAATCGGACTCGCGTTTTCCACTAGAGGGAGCTTCTGATGCTGACATTGAAGAGAATGCTCTATTGACCTACAGGCTAAGTAAAAATGAGTATTTTTCTTTAGATTCACCAACAAATGGTAAGCAGATTAAAAGACTGTCACTTATTTTAAAGAAGTCTCTGGATAGAGAGAAAACTCCGGAACTTAATTTGCTGCTAACAGCTACAGACGGGGGAAAACCAGAGCTTACTGGCACCGTTCGGCTGTTAGTCCAAGTCTTGGATGTCAACGACAATGATCCAGAGTTTGATAAATCAGAATATAAGGTGAGCCTTATGGAAAATGCTGCTAAAGAAACTCTTGTGCTCAAACTAAACGCCACAGACCGAGACGAAGGAGTCAATGGAGAGGTAACATACTCCTTAATGTCAATTAAGCCCAATGGAAGACACTTATTTACACTAGATCAAAATAATGGAGAAGTGAGGGTCAATGGAACTTTAGATTATGAAGAAAACAAGTTTTATAAAATTGAAGTACAGGCTACAGATAAGGGGACTCCCCCAATGGCAGGTCACTGTACAGTCTGGGTGGAAATCTTGGACACCAACGATAACTCTCCTGAAGTCGCCGTGACTTCCTTGTCCCTCCCAGTACGAGAGGACGCTCAGCCCAGCACGGTCATTGCCCTGATCAGCGTGTCTGACCGTGACTCAGGTGTCAACGGACAGGTGACCTGCTCGCTGACGCCCCACGTTCCCTTCAAGCTGGTGTCCACCTTCAAGAATTACTACTCGTTGGTGCTGGACAGCGCCCTGGACCGCGAGAACGTGTGGGCCTATGAACTGGTGGTGACTGCGCGGGATGGGGGTTCGCCTTCTCTGTGGGCCACGGCCAGGGTATCCGTGGAGGTGGCCGACGTGAACGACAATGCGCCTGCGTTCGCACAGCCCGAGTACACCGTGTTCGTGAAGGAGAACAACCCACCAGGCTGCCACATCTTCACAGTGTCGGCGCGGGACGCGGACGCGCAGGAGAACGCGCTGGTGTCCTACTCGCTGGTGGAGCGGCGGTTGGGCGACCGCGCGCTGTCGAGCTACGTGTCGGTGCACGCGGAGAGCGGCAAGGTGTACGCGCTGCAGCCGTTGGACCACGAGGAGCTGGAGCTGCTACAGTTCCAGGTGAGCGCGCGCGATGCGGGCGTGCCGCCTCTGAGCAGCAACGTGACGCTGCAGGTGTTCGTGCTGGACGAGAACGACAACGCGCCGGCACTGCTGGCGACTCAGGCTGGCAGCGCGGGAGGCGCAGTTAACAAGCTAGTACCGCGGTCGGTGGGTGCGGGCCACGTGGTGGCGAAGGTGCGCGCAGTGGATGCGGACTCAGGCTACAACGCGTGGCTTTCATATGAATTGCAGCCGGCGGCGGGCGGCTCGCGCATCCCGTTCCGCGTGGGGCTGTACACGGGCGAGATAAGCACAACGCGTGCCCTGGACGAGGCAGACTCGCCGCGCCACCGACTTCTAGTACTGGTGAAGGATCACGGTGAGCCGGCGCTGACGGCCACGGCCACCGTGCTGGTGTCGTTGGTGGAGAGCGGACAGGCGCCAAAGGCCTCTTCCCGGACTTTGGCGGGCGCCGCGAGCCCAGAGGCTGCGCTGGTGGATGTCAACGTGTACCTGATCATCGCCATCTGCGTGGTGTCCAGCCTCCTGGTACTCACGCTGCTGCTGTATACGGCGCTGTGGTGGTCGGCAACGCCCACTGAGGGCGCGTGCGCGCCGGGGAAGCCCACGCTGGTGTGCTCCCGCGCGGTGGGGAGCTGGTCATACTCGCAGCAGAGGCGGCAGAGGGTGTGCTCTGAGGAGGGCCCACCTAAGACGGACCTCATGGCCTTCAGCCCCAGTCTTCCTCTAGGTCTGAATAAAGAGGAGGAAGGGGAAAGACAGGAGCCAGGGTCAAATCACCCCGGACAGGTGAGTTTTCTACAGATTCCACCTATCAGGAAGTGTATGTGAAATTATTTAAAATCCAGTTTTTTTTCACGGATTTTTTAAGGGAAAGTTTTATGAATAACCAGTGTTTTGAATATTGTTTTAGATAACAATGTCTGTTCATAAAATACCAAATGATACACATCTTCAGTCTTTTAATCATATGAATAATCTGGCTTCTTTAACCAATAAATGTCCTATTTCTCTTAATATTTGGTTAGCAAATCCTAAAAGAAATGAGATGCAAGAGTGACTCTTCTGTAGTCACTTGAGTAGAAATAATTACTATTTTCACTAAAGTACCCATGCCCCTTCATCTCTAAACTTCAATTATGACCATAATAACTATGGATTATTTAAATTTGCTCCTCTTTGTCTTTTAGCAGAGTTTTGCCTTGATATTTCCACATTGTTAGATCAACTGGCTTTGTTTTTCTAAAGGGAGGAGGTCTTCCTATGATGTCCAGGTTGGACTGCAGTGGCTATTTACAGGTGACCTGTAGCCTGGAACTGCTAAGCTCAAAGAATTCTCCCACTTCAGCCTCCAGAGTAGCTGGGAATGCAGTGCCACTGCACTTAGTCCATTGGCTTTCCTAACTTCAGGCTTGTATCAAAGCTAGAATACTCCATTAGTATGACATGATTTACTTTTCTTTTTTTTTTTTACAGTGTTAAACGTTCATCATAAATTCATTATATATGAAACAATCTTTACTTTTGTCTTTATTCCTGTGATAATACTTGTTTTCATATTGTTTGAAGAAAAAAGTTAAGCCTTGCATTCTTATATGCTGCTTTATGGAAATAATATGACTAAAATTCTACATGTTCTTGCCAGGCAAAGTGGTTCAGGCCTGTAATCCCAGCTATTTGGGAGGCTGAGGCAGGAGAATTGCTTGAGCCCAAGAGTTCGAGGCCTGCCTGGACAACATAGCGAGATCCTGTCTCTATAAAAAATTAAAAAATTAGCCAGACCTAGTGGTGCATGCCTGTAGTCCCAGTTTCTTGGGAGGCTGACATGAGAGGATCCCCTGAACCCAGGGGTTCAGGGCTGCAGTGACCTATCATCGTGAGACCCCCATCTGAAAAAATAATTTTTTTTGCCTGTTCTTGATTTTGTTCCATGAAAAGGCAAGAGATTTGTCAACTATTGGATACTCAAACAAAATGGCATGATTTATGATTCCAAAGGAAACTAGGTAAATAAAATTATTCAAATTATCTAAACTTGCTAAAGACATGCATATAGGGCTATATTATCTATAATATATGCTAGTTGGCATTCTTCCATAAGTTTTTCAGATTCATCTAGCAGAGAAAAAATTAAATATATTAATGTGAGTACCTACTGACAATTATCAGTTTCATTCATCTCACTTTGTAACTGCTCTATCTTGTAATGCCTTATCTCTAATGTTTTTGAAATTTTCTTTCCACGTAGTATCATCCCATCTGAAGATTTGAGCAAAGATCATTTACTTCTGAGTCATTCTTCATATTTAGTTATTCTTACTACACGTAGAGTGGTGGTATTACAGACTTTCTTGAGAATCATATCTAGCTATTTCCCCCCCGTATAGAGGCATAACATACCATTTGGCACAATATTCAAAGAGTCTATGCTGAAGCCTATTCATAGACTTTAGATCGAGAGCTTTTGTATCATAATATTCATTGGCTAAAAACATTCTTTAAGTATTAAAGAGAAGGCAACAATATAAAAATATAAAATATTTCAGACTCAAAAGTGATTAAACCATCATACCACTTATGAAACTTTATAAATATAATAAAGGTGAATATTAGATAGGGCATACATTACTCATCTCCAGATGAAATTTTTGGAATAACTGAAGATCTTTTAAAGACTTGGGAATGTTTTCAGTACAGGTTAAAATTTTGTAAATTATTATTTTATATCACATAAATAACAAATTTGCATTTTAGATAATTCAAATTACTTGGACTGATTTCTGCAAAGTTGTGTCTTTTATACTTAATGCCAAGATTGCATTCTATGGTATAAAATTATAATTTCAATTTATTTTCTAGTTTGGTTGTTTAAGTATTAAGCTAAACTTAGATGTTCCTATTGGCTTAACAATTTGTTTAGGTCAAAGAGTATGTGAGAACTACATAACACACTATTATTATTTGTTTCTTTTTGAGATAGAGTCTTGCTCTATCACCCAGGCTGGTGTGCAGTGGCGCAATCTCAGCTCACTGCAATCTCCACCTCCCATGTTCAAGCAATTCTCCTGCCTCAGCTTTCCGAGAAGCTGGGACTACAGGCATGCACCACCACTCCTGGCTAATTTTTGTATTTTTAGTAGAGATGGGTTTTCACCATGTTGGCCAGGCTGGTCTTGAACTCCTGACCTCAGGTGATCTGCCTGCCTCAGCCTCCCAAAGTGCTGGGATTACAGGTGTAAGTCACTGAGCCCAGCCTATTTTTTAAAATTAAAGTTCCTTAGCATGTATGGTACATTGACCACTTTTGAAAATGAAAAATAGGAAAGAAACTTGGTGATGATATTAGACAATTTAAATAATTAGCCTGATGACATCAAAATTCAAATATGTTTTTAATTACTTAACGTTTTATAGTTTATTTAAGTTATCTTATACTTGTAGAGCCATTCTTGGTTACTCTTTCCTGGTGTTGTAAAGGTGTCATATTTCAGTTGCCTTTATTATTATATGCAGTAGGAATGAATGGCAACAAATTATTGGTTTAAAGATTTTGACTTGAGTATTAATAGACTTACAAAATCTATGTGTACTTGTTCACAATGAGTTGTAGGATCTTATCTGTTTTTTTCTCTTAAAGCTGATCTTGAATTAATGAATAAACTCATGAAAGGTCTTTTGATGCCCCCTTGCATAACAGTCACCATTCTGATTTTCTGAAGAGAAGCATGTCCTAACTACTAAATGACCTGTAGGGGAAGATTTAGAGAAAAAGCAAAAGGTTGATATCAAGTTCACATTCTCTTGACTTTAGTCAATGAGATTAGGCTCCAAAACCCTTTAAGAGATCTTTCGCATTTTAGTGCTCCATTGTTGCTTTGGGATAGTGTGAAATTTGGAGGCTTCAACTAAACATTTTACATTAAAGTGCTTTACTTTTGCTAGAGTAAAACTTTCCAGAATCTATTCCTGAGATTTGTTTTAACATGTTATGGAAATGAGAGCAGTTATGTGAAAAGTTATCACATTCAAGCATCAAGGAACCAAACAATAACGCTCTCCATATTTATGATGAATTCTAACTTTCATCAGATTTATGAATAAGACAATTTATATAAATGAAATATTGTTTGGTATTAGACATATTTTAGTTTCTTATCCTTTGTTAAATACAAATTCCTAACTTTCTCTAAAATCTTACGATGGAGTGCTTGTGAAGGTTAAAAGTTATTGAAACAGCGGAATTGTAAGCTATATAAGGGGAGGGGTGCTGTATATTATTCTGTATATCATTTTCCATGATAAAGTGTAGGTTCTGGCCTACTGTATTTGAAAGATTTCTACTTTGAAGCAGAAAACATTTTTAAGCTACAGCGTAATAAAATTGTTGATGTTTTGTTACTAATATCATGTATATTAACTAAACCCGCATTTATAAATGATCCGTGAAAAATAACCCAAAGTCGAAACATTAGAATTAAGAGTGACCCAGGAAGTGGCTAAACCGAAAAGAACCTCAGGATCTTTCTTGTACTTACATAATCAGTCACATGATGTCGCTCTACACTCAGAAGGTGAAACAGGAAAATTTTTTTCTCCGCACCCACATTCCAATCATTCACGGAATAGGATCGACTCCATAATGACTGTGATGCTGGAAAAAATTTACTAAATATGTACTTACAGAAAAGGGTGACTGCTCATAAAATACCTCAGGCAAGCGATCCCTTAAAACTGATTGTCCCAACTCAGAGGCCCTCATTTTCTGCAATGGTGATTATCGGACCAAGAGGCCCGGGATCCCAGCGTCTGCTGCTCTCGCTTCTGCTCCTTGCAGCCTGGGAGGTGGGGAGCGGCCAGCTCCACTACTCCGTCTACGAGGAGGCCAAACACGGCACCTTCGTGGGCCGCATCGCTCAGGACCTGGGGCTGGAGCTGGCGGAGCTGGTGCCGCGCCTGTTCCGGGTGGCGTCCAAAAGACACGGGGACCTTCTGGAGGTAAATCTGCAGAATGGCATTTTGTTTGTGAATTCTCGGATCGACCGCGAGAAGCTGTGCGGGCGGAGCGCGGAGTGCAGTATCCACCTGGAGGTGATCGTGGACAGGCCGCTGCAGGTTTTCCATGTGGACGTGGAGGTGAAGGACATTAACGACAACCCGCCGGTGTTCAGAGAAAGGGAACAAAAGGTACCTGTTTCTGAATCTGCGCCTCTGGACTCTCATTTTCCTCTAGAGGGCGCTTCTGATGCGGATATCGGCGTAAACTCTCTTTTGACCTATGCGTTAAGTCTAAATGAGAATTTTGAGCTTAAAATAAAAACAAAAAAAGATAAAAGTATATTGCCTGAATTAGTTCTTCGGAAGTTATTGGACAGAGAGCAAACGCCAAAACTCAATTTATTGCTGATGGTAATCGATGGCGGTAAACCAGAACTAACAGGGTCTGTCCAGATTCAAATAACCGTCCTGGATGTGAATGACAATGGTCCGGCGTTTGATAAGCCCAGCTATAAAGTAGTGTTGTCTGAAAATGTCCAAAACGACACAAGAGTGATCCAACTAAATGCTTCCGATCCAGACGAAGGACTTAATGGAGAAATTTCCTATGGGATCAAAATGATTTTGCCAGTGAGTGAGAAATGTATGTTTTCAATAAATCCAGACACAGGTGAAATTAGAATTTATGGTGAACTGGATTTTGAAGAGAATAATGCCTATGAAATTCAGGTTAACGCCATTGATAAAGGGATTCCTTCCATGGCAGGTCACAGCATGGTCCTGGTGGAAGTTCTGGACGTGAATGACAATGTCCCTGAAGTAATGGTTACTTCACTGTCGCTCCCTGTGCAAGAGGATGCTCAGGTGGGTACCGTCATTGCCCTGATTAGCGTGTCGGATCGTGACTCTGGAGCCAATGGACAGGTCATCTGCTCACTGACACCTCATGTTCCCTTCAAGCTGGTGTCCACCTACAAGAATTACTACTCGTTGGTGCTGGACAGCGCCCTGGACCGCGAGAGCGTGTCGGCCTATGAGCTGGTGGTGACTGCGCGGGATGGGGGCTCGCCTTCGCTGTGGGCCACGGCTAGAGTGTCCGTGGAGGTGGCCGACGTGAACGACAATGCGCCTGCGTTCGCGCAGCCCGAGTACACAGTGTTCGTGAAGGAGAACAACCCGCCGGGCTGCCACATCTTCACGGTGTCGGCATGGGACGCGGACGCGCAGAAGAACGCGCTGGTGTCCTACTCGCTGGTGGAGCGGCGGGTGGGCGAGCACGCACTGTCGAGCTACGTGTCGGTGCACGCGGAGAGCGGCAAGGTGTACGCGCTGCAGCCGCTAGACCACGAGGAGCTGGAGCTGCTGCAGTTCCAGGTGAGCGCGCGCGACGCCGGCGTGCCGCCTCTGGGCAGCAACGTGACGCTGCAGGTGTTCGTGCTGGACGAGAACGACAACGCGCCGGCACTGCTGGCGACTCCGGCTGGCAGCGCAGGAGGCGCAGTTAGCGAGTTGGTACCGCGGTCGGTGGGTGCGGGCCACGTGGTGGCGAAAGTGCGCGCGGTGGACGCTGACTCCGGCTATAACGCTTGGCTGTCCTACGAGTTGCAACCGGCGGCGGTCGGCGCGCACATCCCGTTCCACGTGGGGCTGTACACTGGCGAGATCAGCACGACACGCATCCTGGATGAGGCGGACGCTCCGCGCCACCGCCTGCTGGTGCTGGTGAAGGACCACGGTGAGCCCGCGCTGACGTCCACGGCCACGGTGCTGGTGTCGCTGGTGGAGAACGGCCAGGCCCCAAAGACGTCGTCGCGGGCCTCAGTGGGCGCTGTGGATCCCGAAGCGGCTCTGGTGGATATTAACGTGTACCTCATCATCGCCATCTGTGCGGTGTCCAGCCTGCTGGTGCTCACGCTGCTGCTGTACACTGCGCTGCGTTGCTCAGCGCCGCCCACCGTGAGCCGGTGCGCGCCGGGCAAGCCCACGCTGGTGTGCTCCAGCGCCGTGGGGAGTTGGTCTTACTCGCAGCAGAGGAGGCAGAGGGTGTGCTCTGCAGAGAGCCCGCCCAAGACGGACCTCATGGCCTTCAGCCCAAGCCTTCAGCTGTCTCGAGAAGATTGTTTAAATCCTCCCAGTGAAGTAAGTTATTAATATTATTTAGATATATTTGTTTCCTTGAAGAACTTCCGTTTAGGTTATAACTACATTCTCTCATTTTTCTTTATGATTCTATCCTTTAAACTATCGAATGTCTCATCTTTCTTGGTCATTCTTACTCATTTTGAACTTTTATGTATTTGTCTAACATTAATGAAGGAAATATGTAGGTACAATGGAGGCCATGGAGCACCACACTTAATATTTTTCTTTTTCTATAATATTTTATATGACTGATGAACCTTGAAAAAAACAGTATATTAGATTAAAAAGTGGCCAGATGTTTGATAACTTAAAAATTTAATTTGTTCATAATTTCAAGATTACAGGTAAGTTGCAAGAATGGTACAAAGAGTTCCTAGATCCCATTAATGGATTCTTTAACTCTTCCTCACGTGCTTAGGCTTTTAAAATAGCCTTCTTGATCACTATTCTAATTTCAGTACAATCTAGACATTTTCACATTATATTCCAGGTATTATCACAATAATATAAATGATATGTCTGACATATGATGAATGATTTTCTTCATTGCTCACAAAATATCTTCTTTATTTCAAGTAGGAATAGATACTGTACTATTCTTATTTACATGAAATATAATAAAATCATTTCTCAATTTAAAAATATTTAACCATCTGTACGATACAGTACAGTTGGTAACCAACTGTGGCTCAAACCAGTTTCAGATGATCCCAAACTTATCATAGTATACCACTGCCCTGTGCCTATTACCAAGTGAATCTTCTAATGTGCATTTTACATATTTTAACTTTCTATTTCTACAAAAATATCCAGAGGCTTCTCTTTAACCAGGGAATAAAGTCTTACATACCCCAGCCTGGTAGTAAAGGCATTAAAATTTCCAGCCTTATATCTACTTTCTTACATATCTTTAGTTTAGGATCTGGAATATAGTATATGTTCAATCACTTTTTAAAAACATATGGGGGTCTTGCTATGTTGCACAGGCTGGACTAGAACTTCTGGGTTCAACTGATCCTCCATTTCAGCCTTTCAAGTAGCTGAGACTACAGGCAGGCTCCACCACTCCCAGCTTCAATCAATAATTTTAAATAAATATATGGTATTGAAATGTATTACCTGGACATTCCCCTCTATCTTAGAAATGAGAGTATGCCCTAGAAATCAGATAATGTTTTATTGAAGAGTGTCTTGAAAGATAGACAACATTTTACCAAGAAAGTGTTAAGAGAGATAAGTAGGAACAACTGCACAGTATATGGTGTAATTGAAGGATTAGAGCAGGGGAGATTGTGAAGGCAGGAAAGCTATTTCTTTTTTAATAAATTAGGTATCAAGTAATGGAGACTTAAATTATGGCAGTAGAAATGAATTGAAAAAGACATATACAAGAGGCACTGGCAAAGTAGAAGCAGCCAGATAATGACAGACTCAATACAAATGATAAGAGAAAAACAAAAGTAGAAGTTGACTCTCACTTTTTTAGTTTGTTCAGCTGAGAAGATGACATTGCCATTAACCAACCTGCAGAACAAGGTTGGAGAAACAGTTTGTGTGTATTTGAGCAGGTAGGGAATGGAGATGAACATTTAAGAAAATGTTACTTTGAAGTCCTAAGAGAATACCGTTGTGATTGGAAATATGGGTCTGGATCTCAGAAGAGATTATTGATATAGATTTTGGGAACAACTCCTTTAGAGAAAAAAATAATCCATGAAAGAATAAAATTGCCAAGACAGACATTGAAAAGTGAAAAACAATGTGTCCAGGTACTTAGGTGGGTAAGTGTGTCGCTTCCTGTGGCTGCTATAACAAACGAACACAAACTGGGTGCTGTAAAACAGCAAAAGTTTATTATTTCTCAGTATTGGAGACCAGAAGTCCAAAATCAAGGTGTTGTCAAGGCTATACTCTCTTTGGAGGCCCCAGGGAAGAATCTGGTTTTTGTTTCTTCCAGTTTCTATTGGCTGTTGGTGTTCCCTGGCTTGTGGCTGTACCACTCCCATCTCAGCCTTCTCAGCTTTCATGGTCACATTGCCTCCTCCTCTCCATGTCTCTCTCTATGTGTTGGTTTTACAAAGGTACATGTGATTGTATTTAGGGCCCATCTGGATAATCCAGGATAAACTCCTTTCAAGATCCTTAACTTAATCATATTATTCACCATATAAAGTAAAATCCACAAGTTCCAGGGATTAAGATGTGGGCATAACTTTTTGGGGACCACAATTCAACCTATTATAGTAGGCTTAAAATCATAGAAGGATAGACAACAGGAAGCTGAAATAAAGCTCAAAGTGCAATATATCAAGTATATGTTAGAAGTTAAACATGAAGGGAAAAAGATAAACAGAAGAGGTTTTCCACCAGAAGTAGAACATTTAAATTAGTGTATGTGCGTGTGTGTATGTATACATATTTTAGTTAAAGAAGTTTGACTATCTTCATAGTGTGAGTGAAAGAAACAAGTAAAAAATAAGATACTAAAAATAAGACAGGCAGCAGGTGAATTTAGATGAAAACCATGAGAGAATAGAAAATAATTTTTAAGAGCATATGGTTGACCTTAAAAGCGGGAACAGTTTTTCCTTACAACTAGTAGAAAATGAAAACAGATAATATAAGGAAAAATGACACAAGAAGAGAGCAATTGAATTTCTGTTTGGTCACATCTCTCAATGTGTGAATCATCTGAAAGTGAACTGATGGAAATGAGGTTGAGAATTTGAGAAGAGAGGAAAGAGAATATGGAAGAATCTCTGTAAGCAAGAGGGAGGAGTTAATTATCAATTCACTTGAGAGCCCAACTGAGGTAAAGGTGAGAGTAAATTTGAAGAGAATAGTCATGGTTAAGTGACAATGTTGAGCAGCTTAATAGGAAGCATAGAGAAAATGGATTGTCAGTGTAACTGCGTGTTGGAGGCTAAAAAGAATGTTAGAGGAGTAATATAAATAGGTGAATGACTCTAGAGTGTCTGGAAGGGCATATTTTAAATGGTTGACTATGTAGTCTAATTATGTGAAGAGGTAAATAAAGAAATGTAGGGCCAGATAGAAAGAATTAGAAGAGAAATACTATGTTAGTAAAAGTAATGGAGCAGGAGAGGATGATGAGGGTAAGAGAATACCAAATACTCTGCCTAAATTTTCAGAGGAGAGCAGAGCTATGGAAATAAACCCAACAGTCATTTCCTATAGAGTTGTGCACAGAACAGGCCAGATAATTATTGGAGCTATGATATATTTTTCATTACACCATTTGGCCTGGGATTTTGTGGCTTGGTAGAGATAGTTATAACAATAGATAAAAGTAAGATCCTCTTCCTCTTTTCCTTGCTAAAGATATGTTAACATCTTTGTCTAGCTGTTGTTTCTTGGAAAATTAAAGTCAATTTAAATGACGGCAAGGTTTTACTCAGTGATGATGAAGTAAGATGGAGAGAGAAAATGGAAACTTTAACCTCCTGGTTAAATTCTATTTAACCAGGACGCCGATTCGGGCTACAATGCGTGGCTTTCGTATGAATTGCAGCCGGCGGCGGTAAGTTAAATTCTATTAAATCAATAGGATATTAGTTCCAGGCATATTTTATAAAAACAGAATCCAAAACCTTAGAGCATTGTTGTGGCTAAATTATTGTGTTTATGCACATACACACACTCACATACAAAATCCCACACATATTGACTGAACACTTTCTTTTGAATATAAATATCTTATCTACATCTCAAGTCACATTGAGGGAAATTTATTAATATGATGTGCTTATTCAAAATCTGATATATCAGTTACCAATATTTTTCACCTTCACCGATTTTATTCTTATGTGATTGTTATGTTTCCTTTTGGAGTCAATGGCTGTTGTGTGAGGAGGTCTTGAAAAATATTACAGGAAGAGGACAGTACCACAAAAACCTACATGACTATGCAGAACTACCGATCAATTGTCCCAAAACGAGTGTCGAATATTCTTTGTCTTAAAGTTCTGCATGGAATTCTTACACATGGAAAAATAAATTTGTGGCAAAATGAAACTCATCAACCAATTGTCAGCTAATATAAAATGTTGAGCAGAATGCAGTGATTTGCTGTTTCTGGGAAGGTAAACATTTAATCTTCAATTACATATTTGCAGTGAAAATGTCAGGAAATGCAAGGGGCAAAAAAATACTACATCAATGGAAAATATGAAGACTGAGTCATACTTACACTTACACGTTCATGCGCATGGTGTCGCTCTTCACTGAGAACGTTTCCGCGAAGAAAGCCGCCGTTTCTTTCTTCCTGCAGAAAATATAGCAGAAAGCGGAATACCTCTTGCGAATCCTTCCGCACTAGGAAGCCATAAAAATTGGGCCTTGAGAGACAGTTTGAGGTAAGGCGTTGTATATATTGCAGATAGCTCTGAGGTTTTTGGAGTGTACCATGCTGTCTTCCTGGCAAGGAGGCCCAAGACCGCGGCAACTACTGCTCTGGCTTCTGATCCTCGCAGCCTGGGAGACGGGTAGTGGCCAGCTCCACTACTCCGTCCCCGAGGAAGCAAAACACGGCACCTTCGTGGGCCGCATCGCTCAGGACCTGGGGCTGGAGCTGGCGGAGCTGGTGCCGCGCCTGTTCCGGGTGGCGTCCAAAAGACACGGGGACCTTCTGGAGGTAAATCTGCAGAATGGCATTTTGTTTGTGAATTCTCGGATCGACCGCGAGGAGCTGTGTGGGCGGAGCGCGGAGTGCAGCATCCACCTGGAGGTGATCGTGGACAGGCCTCTGCAGGTTTTCCATGTGGAGGTGAAGGTGAGGGACATTAACGACAACCCGCCCATATTCCCTGAAAGCAAGAAACGAATAATCATTGCAGAATCTAGACCTCCGGAAACTCGATTTCCACTAGATGGCGCATCCGATGCAGATATTGGAGTAAACTCGGCATTGACCTACCGACTGGATCCCAACGATTATTTCACTTTGGACGCACAAAACAGTCTTGAGCAAATGTCTTCATTATCACTTGTACTGAGGAAAACACTGGACAGAGAGGAAATTCAGGAACATAGTTTATTACTGACAGCCAGTGATGGAGGTAAACCCGAGCTGACTGGCACAGTTCAGCTGCTCATCACGATTCTGGACGTGAATGACAACGCCCCGGAATTTTACCAATCCGTTTATAAAGTGACGGTGTTAGAGAACGCCTTCAATGGAACATTAGTGATCAAGCTAAATGCCACAGATCCTGATGATGGTACAAATGGAGATATAGTTTACTCATTTAGAAGGCCTGTATGGCCTGCAGTGGTATATGCATTTACCATAAATCCGAACAATGGAGAAATTAGGACAAAAGGCAAACTAGATTTCGAAGAAAAGAAATTATATGAAATATCCGTGGAGGCAGTTGACAAAGGAAATATTCCAATGGCGGGTCATTGTACCCTTTTGGTGGAAGTACTAGATGTAAATGATAACGCCCCAGAGGTTACCATCACTTCTTTGTCACTCCCCATCAGAGAAGACACTCAGCCTAGCGCCATTATTGCCCTAATCAGTGTGTCCGATCGTGACTCTGGCTCAAATGGACAGGTCACCTGCACCTTGACGCCGCATGTCCCCTTCAAGCTGGTGTCCACCTACAAGAACTACTACTCATTAGTGCTGGACAGCGCCCTGGACCGCGAGAGCGTATCAGCCTATGAACTGGTGGTGACCGCGCGGGACGGGGGCTCGCCTTCGCTGTGGGCCACGGCCAGCGTGTCGGTGGGGGTGGCCGACGTGAACGACAACGCGCCGGCGTTCGCGCAGCCCGAGTACACGGTGTTCGTGAAGGAAAACAATCCGCCGGGCTGCCACATCTTCACGGTGTCTGCTCAGGACGCGGACGCACAGGAGAACGCGCTGGTCTCCTACTCGCTGGTGGAGCGGCGGGTGGGCGAGCGTGCGCTGTCGAGCTACGTGTCGGTGCACGCGGAGAGCGGCAAGGTGTACGCGCTGCAGCCGTTGGACCACGAGGAGCTGGAGCTGTTGCAGTTCCAGGTGAGCGCGCGCGACTCTGGCGTGCCGCCTCTGGGCAGCAACGTGACGCTGCAGGTGTTCGTGCTGGACGAGAACGACAACGCTCCGGCGCTGCTGACGCCCGGGGCTGGCAGCGCGGGAGGCACAGTGAGCGAGCTGATGCCGCGGTCGGTGGGTGCAGGCCACGTGGTGGCGAAGGTGCGCGCGGTGGACGCCGATTCGGGCTACAATGCGTGGCTTTCGTATGAATTGCAGCTGGCGGCGGTCGGCGCGCGCATCCCGTTCCGCGTGGGGCTGTACACTGGCGAGATCAGCACGACGCGCCCTCTGGACGAGGTGGACGCGCCGCACCACCGCCTTCTGGTGCTGGTGAAGGACCACGGTGAGCCCGCGCTGACGGCCACGGCAACGGTGCTGTTGTCGCTGGTGGAGAGCGGCCAAGCGCCACAGGCTTCGTCGAGGGCGTCGGCAGGCGCTGTGGGTCCAGAAGCGGCGCTGGTGGATGTCAATGTTTACTTGATCATTGCCATCTGCGCGGTGTCCAGCCTGTTGGTGCTCACGTTGCTGCTGTATACTGCGCTGCGGTGCTCGGCACCGCCCACCGAGGGCGCGTGCGCGCCGGGCAAGCCCACTCTAGTGTGCTCCAGCGCGGCAGGGAGTTGGTCGTACTCGCAGCAGAGGCGGCCGAGGGTGTGCTCTGGGGAGGGCCCGCATAAGACGGACCTCATGGCCTTCAGTCCCAGCCTTCCTCCTTGTCTGGGTTCTGCAGAGGGAACAGGCCAGAGGGAGGAGGACTCAGAATGCTTGAAAGAGGTAAGCTTATATTTTAAAAAATTGTCTTAGTAAACACTTTAGCCTTCCTTGCAGTTGTTTGTTTAAGACATCTTTCCTGCCAATTTCAAATTATTCTTTACTTTAATTTTAATTTTGCTAGTTGTTATCGAATTTAACAACTCTGCTGTGGACATTATGTGTTGGATTATCCTTCAGAGTGAAATCTTAACTCACAAACCATAATGAAATGTGCAAAACAAGAATATTTTGTTTCTGTTGTATTCTTAATAGTTCTAAGTATTTATCTTGCAATTGAGCATTTACAAAAAATTCCTCACGTTGTGAGAACTTAAACATTTAGAAAATGTTTGTTTTAATGAGGCTAATCGTAATCTTAAATTTAAAAAATTTTTAGTTTAATGTATACATATACCCACAAGATATTATTTTAAAGAGCCCCATAACTTTTCACATAAATGCTTTTTTTAAGTGCACTTTTCTTTCTTTCTTTTTTTAAACTGTTTTGATTGTCTCTACTTTTTTGTCCTCTAGGCACATCAGTGTTCCCCTCTCATATATCCCATGAAAAATATCTTGTGATTCTGCTTTCAATTTTTTATTTGCATTCAGATAATTACTCATACATATATATATACATATATAGAGAGAGACCTGGTAGGCTTTTTGTTATTATTTCTTTTCCAAAGTTTGAAGGGATTTCCAAAAGGTACTGGTGACTGAAAGTACCTTTTGGCAGTCCCTGCAAATCTAATGGTTTTAATAGCTGTGTAGTATTCCACAGTGTAAGTGTGCAATTATATATTATTTACCTAATGATGGGCAATCACTTTGTGTCAAGTGTTCTGTTATCTTCATGAACCATGCTGTGCTATCATTTCATATATTTCCCAAAATATTGGTGTTATTTCTACGAAATTGATTGTCAGATGTGGAATTGATGCATCAAAGATATTAATAATTTTAATTATAAAATATGTCACTGGATTGCCTTCCAAGTATTTTGGAACCAACCAGTTATGAGCACTCTTTCTATCTCAAGAAGCAATAGTGGTTTTACTTTCTGCTAATGTGATCTCTGTGAAATGATATTTCACTGTTACTTTAATTTTAAATTCCTGTATAGTATTAGTGAATTTGAGCATATTGTCATATGTATTTTGTTGATTTGTATTTGATCTTCTTTGATTTATCCATTAAGTTATTTGCCTACTTTTCTATTGAAAAAAAATTTTTAGTTTCAGTTTGGAAAAGTTCTCTGTACCTTATAGATATTAACTGTTTATCTATTTTTTGACATTTTTAATTAAAATTTTTATTTTGAGATAATTATAGATTCGCATGTGGTTGAAAGAAATAGTAAAGGGAGATGCTATGTATTCTTCACTAAGTTTTCCCCAATAGTAACATCTTACAAAAGCGTAGGGCCATACCACAACCTGGATATTGACATTGATACAGTAAAGAAGTAACATAGTTCCGTAACAACCAGATTCTTGATATCACCTTTTTATAGCCACATCTGCTTCCCTGCCTAATGCTGGCAAGCAGTAATCTGTTCTCCATTTCTCTAATTTTGTTACTTTTACTTCAGAAATAAATAAAAGTATCTCTATTTATAGATAAAATTTTTTAAAATTATTTTTATATTTATTTATTTTTTATTACACTTTAAGTTCTGGGATACATGTGCAGAACGTGCAGGTTTGTTACATAGGTGTACATGCCATGGTGTGCTTATCTATTATCTGCATCACAAATATGTTTTCCTCCTATATTATTTCTATTCATTTGTTTGTACTAATTTTGTCATATATAAATGTTTTTAAAATGTATGAATTAAAATATATCTTTTTCCTTTTATGGATTTTAAGGTCTGCATATTCAGTTAGAAAGGTCTTCCCAGCTGGGCACGGTGGCTCACGCCTGTAATCCCAGCACTTTGGGAGGCCAAGGTGGGCGGATCAGGAGATCAGGAGTCCGAGACCAGCCT
This sequence comes from Homo sapiens, assembly GCF_000001405.40. Classification (NCBI taxonomy): domain Eukaryota; kingdom Metazoa; phylum Chordata; class Mammalia; order Primates; family Hominidae; genus Homo; species Homo sapiens. The sequence continues at coordinate 121,811 of NW_025791778.1, forward strand.
GGCCAACATGGTGAAACCCTGTCTCTACTAAAAATACAAAAATTAGCGAGGCATGGTGGCACGCGCCTGTAATCCCAGCTACTTGGGAGGCTGAAGCAAGAGAATTGCTTGAACCCGGGAGGTGGAGGTTGCAGTGAGATGAGATCATGCTACTGTACTCCAGCTCTGGGTGACAGAGCAAGACTTCGTCTTGAAAAAAAAAAAAAAAAAAAAGAAAGGTCTTCCCAACTCCTATATTGAACATTCATTAATTAAATGCATTTAATAAATACTTATTGAGTGTTCTCTATGTGCCAGGCATGTTCTACACATTAGACATTTAGCAACGAAATTTATTATTTTGTAAATCCAAATTTCCAGTTGGTATCACTTTCCTACTGCCTGAAAAATTTCTTTAATATTTTTTATAGTGCATATGTTCTGGCAACAAATTCACTCAGCTTTTGTCTGAGAAATATCTTTATCTCTTTTTTTTTTTTTGAGACGGAGTCTCACTCTGTCGCCCAGGCTGGAGTACAGTGGCGTGATCTCGGCTCACTGCAAGCTCCACCTCCCGGGTTCACGCCATTCTCCTGCCTCAGCCTCCCGAGTAGCTGAGACTACCGGCGCCCGCCACCACGCCCTGCTAATTTTTTGTATTTTTAGTAGAGATGGGGTTTCATCTTGTTAGCCAGGATAGTCTCGAACTCCTGACCTCGTGATCCACCTGGCTCGGCCTCCCAAAGTGCTGGGATTACAGGTGTGAGCCACCGCGCCCGGCTCTTTATCTCATTTTTATTTTTGAAAAAGTATTTTCACTGGGCATAGTTGACAGTTTTTTAAAAGATATAATTCAGTTGTCTTCTGGCTTGCATAGTTTCTAATAAGATGTTTGCTTTTTTATATATGAGTCTTCCTCTCCCCACCCCTCATGGTTACTGTTAAAACTTTTCTTTTTATCCTGACTTTTGCAGATTGATTGTGATGTGCTTTAGTATGGTTTTCTTTATGTTAGTCTGTTGGGGTTTGTTGATATTCTTGGATCTGTGGATTTATCATTTTCATCAAATTCAGGAAAAAATCAACCATACTTCTTCTAATAGTTTTTTCTTTCCTTCCATCCTTTCTGAGACTCCAGTAACACATATGTTACAATGACACAGGTCATTGAAGCGTTCTTTATTTTTGTCCATTTCTTTCTCTGTGCCTCATTTTGAATATCTTTTATTGACATATTTTCCAAGTTCACTAATTTTTCCTTTTGTAGTATCATATCTGTTAATCCTAAACAGTGTATTCTTCATTTCAGAGACCATATTTATTTCTTATCTGTATAAGATTCTTTTTGTCTCTTTTAAAATTTATTTTACATGTCTCCACCGAATAGTCATCTTTTTATCTATATGTTTGAGCATATTAGTACATGTATAATAGATGTTTTAACTTTCTTGTCTGCTAATTTCAACATTTTTGTCCTTAGTTTGCTTCTTTTAATCTATCTTCTTCTATGGATATATTTTCTTGCTGTTTTGCATGACTGGTAATCTCTAATAAGATGCTAGACATTGTGAATTTTACATTGTCGGATGCTGGATTTTGTGTGTGTGTGCATGTGTGTGCGTGTTCCTTTAAAGCAGTAGTTCTTGATAAGAAACAGTTTTGTCCCCTCTACCCCCTACCCAGGAGATAATTTGGCAATGCCTGGATACATTTTTGGTTATTACAACTAGGGAATTGCTACTGGCATCTAATAATGGAGCTCTGAGATGCTGCTAAACACCATCCAATTGCTGCCAAACATCCTACCGTGCACAGGACAGCCGCCCAACAATAAAGAATTAGCTCAAAATGTCAGTAGTTCCACTGTTGAGAAACTCTGCTTTAAAGAGTCTTGGACTTAGTTCTGACGTGAAGTTAAGTTGCTCAGTACCAATTTATTCCTTTCAAGGCTTCATTTTAAGATTTGTTAGTACACATTCAGAGCAGCTTTTAGTGTAGCACTAATTCGGCCTTCTATTACAGCAATACTTTCCTGAGGACACCACCTAATGCCCTGTGCATTAAGAGGTCTCTCTTCTCTGATTGGTAGGAATGTGAAATATTTCCAGCCCTTTGTGAGCTCTAGGAATTATTCTACCCACTTTTTTTTTTAATTTTGAAGGGATAGCCTGATCTGGGGAGGTTGATCAGTGATCTGTGATCTGTGATCACATCACTCCACTGCAGCCTGGTGACAGAGTGAGACCATGTCTCAACATAAAAATTAAAACATTAGAATTGAGGTTTAATGTTATCAAATATTTTATCTGCATCTTTTGAGGGAGGTATAAATTTTTTCTTTGGCAATGTTAATGTGTTGAATTTATGATTTATGATTTTCTTATGGCAAACCAACCTCTACTTCCTTGGATAACCGTAATTTGATTATAATTTATAATCCTTTTAATATACTACTTATTTTGTTAAATTTTCAAAACAATTTTTTCATCTTTATTCCAGGTGATACTGATATGTCCTAGTTTTTCTTCCTAATTTCTTCTTTGTTAAGTATTCAAGTTATAAATAAGAATCTAGCATAACTTGAATACTTAACAAAGAAGAATAGTCTTTGAAAACTTCCAGAAAATTTTCTGTTTCCTGTAAAAGTTTGTATAATCTTTGAATTACTTCTTATTTGATTGGAGAACTCACTGTTGAAGTTATCTGTATCAGGATTTTGATTGGTGGGAATATTTCTGATTACTGACTCAATTTTAATAGTATAAGGACCATTCAGAGTTTAATTTACTCGAGTCAGTTACGTAGATAATATTTTTTCAGGTATTTTCCTGTTTAATCTAAATTTTCAGTTATATGCTCATACTTTCTACAGAATCTATAGTGATATTTCCCTTTCCATTCTTGATATTATTTTTGCTTCCTGTCTAATTTACTTTTCTTCAGAATTCTGCTTTCTGATTTTTGTTTTTGCTTTGAAATATTTTTATATTAATTATACTGATTCATTTCTCTTCTTTTCATTTGTGTTTGCAGGAGATGTCCTCTTCCCAGCCTTTTATTTTAAACCTTTTAGTATTATGGGCATATTCCACAAGTTCTTTGCTACTGTCTCACTGAGTAGCAGAGTCTAATTTTTCTTTCCTTGAACTTTGACTGGTCTTAATATTGGAAGTAACATTCTGGGATTTATGAAGTCAGGTCATAAGAAGTCTTACAGTATGCTTTGGTCTCTGAGAATATTTGTTTTGGGGGAAGCCTGCCACCATGTAAGAATTCTGACTACCTTGAGATTGTCATACTGTAAAGAAGCTCAAGCTGGACTTGTGAGAAGCCAAATGGATAGAAAAATTACTATCCAGTCTCCAGTTGTCTTAGCTTTCCAAGCTTAGGTGCCAGAAAAATGTAGAAGGCTTCAGGTGACTGTAGTGTGTTGGAGCTGGCTCTTTTACTGGCTTATGAGAACTGATAATGCAAATTTATTCCCAACTCTGGATTCAATGATGTCACTTTGGTAGCTTGAAATTGGCCATGGTAGGAGTATTTCTGCCACAGAAATAGGCAAATGCTACAAAACAGAGTTTTTTGTTTTTCTTTTTTCCCAGAGACCTAGTTGTTAAGCATTTACCAGTACACTACTGCACCTGATTGCAAGCAAGAACCACTCAGTTGAGTCAGAACCAGGAGAGGTAATATTAAGTTGTTTTAAGATATTAGGTAGTTGGGATGGTTTACTATATAGCAATGGATAACCTGAACAAGTACTCTTTCTTAGATAATCTATAAATTTTAACTTGAATATTTATTTAGTTTATATTTACAATACCTAGTGATATCTTTAGGCACAAATATTTCAATTTTTTGTGCGTTATTTTTGTCTCACCATTTTTATGTCTCTATTTCCTTCCTTTGTTGATCTTCTTTTGAAATGACTGAGTACTTTTTATTGTTCCATTTCCTTCTGTATTATTTGGAAGCCCTTTTCCGAATAGCTAGTGCTTACCCTAGAAAATTAAGCATGTATCCTTGATATATCAAAATCAAAAGTTAACTGAAACCCTTCCTCCTTCTGGGAAATGCAGGGACCTTACATTTTTAAAATCTTTTTAATCCCTTTTGACTTATATACTATTTCTGTCATGCTTTAAAAATATTTTAAAACCCCATAAGATATTAGTATTATTTTATACAATCAACATTGTTTTAAATGTACTTACATATTTACCAGTTTTGTTTCTCTTCCTTACTTCTTGCCCCTCTGACCTTTCATCAGGGATTATTGTCTTTCCATGTTAGAATAATTTGAGAGTTTCCTTTAGTCCAAAGATGCTGGTGAGGAATGATTTCAGGTTTTGTTTTTCTGAAAATGTCTTTATTTCATCATAATTATTGAAAAGCATTTTTTCTGAGGGTATAATCTTAGGTGTGACCCCCACAGCACATAGTAAATATTATTCCAGTGTCTACTGGTTTCCATTGTTGCTGTCAAGAATTTAGCTGTCAATCTAAATGTCATTCCTTTAAAGGTATTCTGTTTATTTTCCTTTGGCTGCTTTTCAGATTTTCTGTGTGTCTGATATTTTGCAGTTTTACCATGCTGTGTCTTTATAATCATCCTGTTCTGGATTCAGTAGGATTTTTTTTAATTTTTAATTTTTCCGTAAGTTATTGGGGGTACAGGTGGTATTTGATTACATGAGTAAGTTCTTTGGTGGTGATTTGTGAGATTTTGGTGCATCCATCACCTGAGCAGTATACATTGCACCATATTTGCAATCTTTTATCCCTCGCCACCCCCCACTCTTGCCCCCAAGTCCCCAACGTCCATTGTATAGGATTTTTGAATTTGTGAATTAATGCCTTTACATCACTTTGAGCATATCCTCAGCTATAATGTTCTCCAATGTTGCTTCTGTTCCATTGTATTTCTATAGTATTATTTTAGTACTCTAATTAAACATATTTTAATCTTATTACTCTATCCCATCTATTTCTACCTTTTATTTTAACACCTTTTGCTCTTTGGGCTTTATTGTGGATAGTTCACCCACCTTAAAGTTTAATAATTCTCTCTTCTTGCTGTTGTCTGAATTTGTACCCCCAAATTCATGTGTTGAAAATTCAATCCCTTATACAACAGTGTTGGGAGGTGGGGAATTTCAGGAAATGTTTAGATTATGAGGGATCTGCCCTCATGAATAAATTAACGGCACTGTAAAAGGACTTGATGGAAGGAGCCTGTCCCTCTCTTATGCTTTTGGCTCTGTCATGTGACGATGCAGCAAGAAGATCTTCACCAGATGCTGGTGCCTTGATCTTGGACTTCCCCTAGGCTCCAGAATTGTGAGAAGTAAATTTCCGTTCTCATAAATTACTCAGTCTGTGGCATTCTGTTATAGCAGCACAAATGGTCTAAGATACTTTTATTTATTCTTTTTCAAATTTATTGTTACTTTGTATAATTTCTAGTTTCCTCTCGAAACTTTCAAGCTTGGCATTTATATCTGGAACACAATAAGCTCATGGTTTTAGCGTCTATTTCTGATATGTCCAGTAACTGGGATCCTCATGGGTCTATTCCTGTGGTGTGTTTTAAAATTGTATCTTTATGGTGTTTTGTCTCCACATAAACCTGGTTATCTTTGATTTTGTGCTGAAAGTTGTATTAAACACTTCTTCCTGGAAATAATTTGGGGCTTATAACATTTTCTTTCTCCAGAATGGATTTTAATTGACTTTTGCCAGGCATCTTGGGGCACTAGCAATCATGGGTAATCTTAATCTATTTCAAGCTTCAGGTATTCTAGATAAAACCTCATTATCTAAAATTTACATGTATTCTTTAAGTACGGTTATTCAGTTTCCTAGCCAAACATGAGAGATTGTTTAAGAAGTTCCACCATGACTGGTAGACTCAGGATTCTGACTTTTGTTTCTCTAGTCCTTGGAGACTGTCAAAAGTATATCTCAGTATTCATTCACCTATTTTTTTCCTTTTATTTCCAGTTGGTACATAATAATTGTACATATTTATAGGATACAGAGTGACATTTTGATACATATATACAATGTATAATAATAAAATCAGGGTAATTAGCATATTCATAATCTCAAACATTTACCATTTTTGCATGGTGAACATTTAAAATCCACTCTTCTAGCTTCTTGAAAATATGTAAGAAATTATAGTTAACCATATTTATCCTACAGTGCTACAGTGCTGCAAAACACCACAACCCATTCCTCCTGTGTAGCTATAATTTCGTATCCATTAACCAACCTTTCCCCATCCTCCTTTTCCTTCACCCTTCCCAGCCTCTGATAAGCACAATACTACTTCCATGAGCTCAATAAAATTTTGTAGCTGCCGTATAAGTGAGAACATGTATTTATTTTTCTGTGCCTGACTTATTTCACTTAACATATGCCCTCCAGGCTCAGCCATACTGCCATGAATAACAGGATTTCATTCTTTTTTATGGCTGGATAATATTCCGTTGTGCATATACACCACATTTTCTTTATCCACTCATCTGTTGATGGATATTGAGGTTGATTCCACATAGTAGCTATTGTGAATAGTGCTGCAGTAAGTATGGGAGGTGCAGGTATCACTTTGACATACTGGTTTCCTTTTCTTTGGATAAATGCCCAATAGTGGAATTGCTGGATGATATGGTAGTTCTATTTGTAGTTTTTTGAGGGACTCCCATACTGTTTTCCTTAGTGGCAGTGCTAATTTACATGCCCACCAACAGCATTTATGGGACAGTGGCTCATGCCTGTAATCCCAGCACTTAGGGAGGCAGAGGCAGGAAGATCGCTTGAAGCCAGGAGTTCAAGACCAGCCTGGGCAACATAGCAAGACCCTGTTCTTCACAAAAAAGAAAAAAAAAGCAGTTGTAGAACTCCTTTAAGTATTTCTTGTAGGACTTATCTAGTTGTAGTGTACTTCCTCAGTTTTTGCTTGTTTGGGAAATACTTTATTTCTCCTTCATTTCTGAAGTATAGCTCTGCTTGGTATAGTATTTTTGGCTGATAGTTTTAAAAAATTTCAGCACTTTGGATATATCATCTCATTCTATCCTAGCCTGTAAAGCTTCTGCTGAGAAATCTGCTGTTAGTCTGATGGGAATTTTCTTATAGGTGACTTGTCACTTTTCTTTTACCGTTTTTAGAATTCCCTCCTTGTCTTGAGTCTGGTACCGTAGACTACTCAGCCATCCTGATGCCCTACCTCTTGTATAGAAACAACCCAGATCCAAAGTGGCCAGAAAGTTACTTTACCTTCTGAATTTGTGGTCTTTTTCAGAATCTCTACCTGTTAATTCTGCATGACTTTATTAGTCATTAGATACTTTTATAATTTTAAAATATCTCCAATTGTATGGTTGGTTCAAATTACCAGTTCTGCATACTGGTAATGTAAGTCCTCTGTTGAATTGATTTTTAAATACATTTATTTTATTCCAGTATCTTCTAGCTCCTGGTGTTGCAGATGAGAAGTTTCAAATAACTTGAAATAATTCCCTTCTATGTAATTATCCCTGATTTTGACTTTCTTTCCATAGTTATATATTTTTTCTATGCTATTATATTCTCATTTTAAAGATGTTGAATGACAATGTAATTTTCTTTTCTTTACAAGTGGTAGCTTATTTACAAGTATTTTTGAAGTTTATTTTCCTGGAAAGTTTTCTTAAATTATAGATTTTAGTATTTCTTCTGTTTTATTACTTCAGATTTCTTCTTCAATGGCTCCAATTATATTTGTATTAGATATTCTTTGCTTTTCTTTTGTAGCTAACACTCCTAAATCCTACCTAGCTCTTTTTTAAAAAATATTTTACTTTTTATTCTTGTTTTCATCTTATAGTTTTCTTTAGGCATTATCCATAGTGTTTATATGCTGTTATGTGCCTTCTGGTTTAGTGTTTACTTCTGAAAAAATTATTTTCCTTTTTTTTAATATTTTACTGAGTTTTCTCATCTCTCTTTTCAAAGCTTTTCTTCTCCAATCATATCATTACTGAGTCTCTCTAATTCTGATTTGTGTATTCTTGCATAGCTTTTCATTATTTTCTAAAAATGTTTAAGTTGTTTTCAAATATTACGTAGCAATTTGTGGAATTTTTTTTCTTGTGTGTATTTATTTCCTTTAGTGTAATTATTTGTCCTCTCCTTTAAAAATAATTTTATATCAGATTTGCCCATAATCCTTTTCTTATGCTCATTTTTATATGAAAAGTGCTCCCCCATAATTTTAGAAGAAACAGACCAGGATAATTTTCCTATCTTTGTTGCTCTATAGATTTCTATTCAGCTATTGTCATGAAATGATAAAAATATAATTTTTTAATGTCTTACTTTGTGACATCCTTTACCCTTTTTACTTGGACCTTTTTCCTTTGTTTAATTGTCCCCCACCCACACCATTCTGCTTCATATGGACTCAATTCCTATCAGTTCCTCCTCAGTATAGGGGTTTTTGCTACAAGAAGACATTTGTTAGTTGACAAGTTCATAGGGCTAAGACAGGTTTAGCACAATCCAATCTATTTGTAGTCCCTTCTGCTAAGTTTTGAATTTGCTTTTATTTCTAATATTTTACTGAGTTTTCTCATCTCTCTTTTCAAAGCTTTCTTTTTTTTCTTACTCAGGGATAATTGAATTAGGACCTTCGATTTCCCCCCTTCCACCCATGACTATTGTTCTCAAATTGTTTTACTATGCTTTCCAGTGAGTACTTATTGGCACTTTTTGGAGTTCTTCAATTCTCAACACCATCAAAAGCCCCATAACCTTCTTTTGCTTCCTCCTGAGACTCTTTTCATGTGCTTATTGGTCATTTCTTTATCCTCTTCGGAGAAATACCTATTCAGAACTTTTGCCCAATTTTTAATTGGTTTATTCGTTTTTCAATTGTTGAGTTGTAAGAGTTCTTTATATATTCTAGATGCAATTACTTTATTAGATATATAATTTGCAAAGATTTTCTCATTGAGGGTGTTGTCTTTTCACATTCTTTTTTAGCTCCCACTTATAAGTGAGAACATGTAGTATTTGGTTTTCTGTTTCTATATTAATTCACTTGGGATAATGGCCTGCACCTCCATTCAATGGGCTGCAAAGGGCATGATCTTTTTCTTTCTTTATGGCTGCATAGTATTCAATGACGTATATGTACAATACTGTATTGTATTGTATTGTATTTTTTTCAGACAAAGTCTCACTCTTGTACCCCAGGCTGGAGTGCAATGGCGCGATCTCGGCTCACTGCAACCTCCGCGTCCCGGGCTCAACAATTATCCTGCCTCAGCCTCCCGAGTAGCTGGGATTACAGGTGCCTGTCACCAGGCCTAGCTAATTTTTGTATTTTAAGTAGAGACAGGGTTTCTCCATGTTGGCCAGGCTGGTCTCGAACTCCTGACCTCAGGTGATCCGCCTGCCTCGGCCTCCCAACATGCTGGGATTACAGGCGTGAGCCACTGTGCCTGGCCAATGTACTGCATTTTATTTATCCAGTGCACCATTGATGGGCATTTAGGATTATTCTCTGTCTTTGCTATTGTGAATAGTGCCATGATGAACATACACATACATGTGTCTTTATAGTAGAATGACTTATATTCCTTTGGTTATGTACACAGTTATGGGATTTGCTGGCTTGAATGGTAAGTTCTTTGAGAAATCTTCAAACTGCTTTCCACAGTGGCTAAACTAATTTATATTCCCGCCAGCAGTGTATAAGCATTCCCTTTTCTCTGCAACCTCACCAGCATCTGTTATTTTTGACTTTTTAGTAATAGCCATTCTGACTGGTGTGACTGCAACCTCCACCTCCTGGGTTCAAGCGGTTCTCCTGCCTCAGCCTCCTGAGTAGCTGGGACTGTGCAGGCACACACCACAAAGCCCAGCTATTTTTCTTTTTTTTTTTTGTATTTTAAGTAGAGATGGGGTTTTGACGTGTTGGCCAGGCTGGTCTCGAACTCCTGGTCTTAAGTGATCCACCTGCCTTGGCCTCCCAAAGTGCTAGTATTACAGGCATGAGTCACTGTGCCCGGCCCTTTGCCCATTTTTTGATGAGGTTGTTTGTTTTTTGCTTGTTAATTTGTTTAAGTTCCTTATAGATTCTGGATATTAGACCTTTGTTGGATGCATAGTTTGCTGATATTTTCTCCCATCCTGTAGGTTGTCTGTTTACTCTGTTCATAGTTGTTTTTATTTTTTAATTTTATGGGTACATAATAAGTGTACATATTTATGGGGTATATGAGACATTTTGATACAAGCATGCAATGCACAATAATCACATCATGGAAAATGGAATGGCCATTCCCTTAAACATTTATTCTTTGCACAAACAAACCAGTTATGCTCTTTTAGTTATTTTTAAATATACAACTAAATTATTTAGACCATAGTCACCCTATTCTGCTGTCAAATACTATGTCTTATTCATTTTTTCTATTTTTTATCCTCATTAAAAATCTCCACTTTCTGTCCACACCCCACTAAACTTTCTAGCCTTTGTTAACCATTCTTCTACTGTCTATCTCCATGGGTTCAAAAAATATATTTTTTTATTATACTTTAAGTTTTAGGGTACATGTGCACAATGTGCAGGTTAGTTACATATGTATACATGTGCCATGCTGGTGTGCTGCACCCATTAACTCGTCATTTAGCATTAGGTATATCTCCTAAAGCTATCCCTCCCCCCTCCCCCCACCCCACAACTGTCCCCAGAGTGTGATGTTCCCTTCCCCTTCCTGTGTCCATGTGTTCTCATTGTTCAATTCCCATCTATGAGTGAGAACATGCAGTGTTTGGTTTTTTGTCCTTGCGATAGTTTACTGAGAATGATGATTTCCAATTTCAACCATGTCCCTACAAAGGACATGAACTCATCATTTTTTATGGCTGCATAGTCTTCCATGGTGTATATGTGCCACATTTTCTTAATCCAGTCTGTCATTGTTGGACATTTGGGTTGGTTCCAAGTCTTTACTATTGTGTATAGTGCCACAATAAACATACGTGTGCATGTGTCTTTATAGCAGCATGATTTATAGTCCTTTGGGCATATACCCAGTAATGGGATGGCTGGGTCAAATAGTATTTCTAGTTCTAGATCCCTGAGGAATCGCCACACTGACTTCCACAATGGTTGAACTAGTTTAGAGTCCCACCAACAGTGTAAAAGTGTTCCTATTTCTCCACATCCTCTCCAGCACCTGTTGTTTCCTGACTTTTTAATGATTGCCATTCTAACTGGTGTGAGATGGTATCTCATTGTGGTTTTGATTTGCGTTTCTCTGATGGCCAGTGATGATTAGCATTTTTTCATGTGTCTTTTGGCTGCATAAATGTCTTCTTTTGAGAAGTGTCTGTTCATATCCTTTGCCCACTTTTTGATGGGGTTGTTTGTTTTTTTCTTGTAAATTTGTTTGAGTTCATTGTAGATTCTGGATATTAGCCCTTTGTCAGATGAGTAGGTTGCGAAAATTTTCTCCCATTTTGTAGGTTGCCTGTTCACGCTGATGGTGGTTTCTTTTGCTGTGCAGAAGCTCTTTAGTTTAATTAGATCCCATTTGTCAATTTTGGCTTTTGTTGCCATTGCTTTTGGTGTTTTAGACATGAAGTCCTTGCCCATGCCTAAGTTCTGAATGGTAATGCCTAGGTTTTCTTCTAGGGTTTTTATGGTTTTGGGTCTAACGTTTAAGTCTTTAATCCATCTTGAATTAATTTTTGTATAAGGTGTAAGGAAGGGATCCAGTTTCAGCTTTCTACATACGGCTAGCCAGTTTTCCCAGCACCATTTATTAAATAGGGAATCCTTTCCCCATTGCTTGTTTTTCTCAGGTTTGTCAAAGATCAGATAGTTGTAGATATGCGGCGTTATTTCTGAGGGCTCTGTTCTGTTCCATTTATCTATGTCTCTGTTTTGGTACCAGTGCCATGCTGTTTTGGTTACTGTAGCCTTGTAGTATAGTTTGAAGTCAGGTAGCATAATGCCTCCAGCTTTGTTCTTTTGGCTTAGGATTGACTTGGTGTTGCGGGCTGTTTTTTGGTTCCATATGAACTTTAAAGTAGTTTTTTCCAATTCTGTGAAGAAAGTCATTGGTAGCTTGATGGGGATGGCATTGAATCTGTAAATTACCTTGGGCAGTATGGCCATTTTCACGATACTGATTCTTCCTACCCATGAGCATGGAATGTTCTTCCATTTCTTTGTATCCTCTTTTATTTCATTGAGCAGTGGTTTGTAGTTCTCCTTGAAGAGGTCCTTCACGTCCCTTGTAAGTTGGATTCCTAAGTATTTTATTCTCTTTGAAGCAGTTGTGAATGGGAGTTCACTCATGATTTGGCTCTCTGTTTGTCTGTTATTGGTGTATAAGAATGCTTGTGATTTTTGTACATTGATTTTGTATCCTGAGACTTTGCTGAAGTTGCTTATCAGCTTAAGGAGATTTTGGGCTGAGATAATGGGGTTTTCTAGATATACAATCATGTCTTCTGCAAACAGGGACAATTTGACTTCCTCTTTTCCTAATTGAATACCCTTTATTTCCTTCTCCTGCCTAATTGCCCTGGCCAGAACTTCCAACACTATGTTGAATAGGAGTGGTGAGAGAGGGCATCCCTGTCTTGTGGCAGTTTTCAAAGGGAATACTTCCAGTTTTTGCCCATTCAGTATGATATTGGCTGTGGGTTTGTCATAGATAGCTCTTATTATTTTGAGATATGTCCCATCAATACCTAATTTATTGAGAGTTTTTAGCATGAAGGGTTGTTGAATTTTGTCAAAGGTCTTTTCTGCATCTATTGAGATAATCATGTGGTTTTTGTCTTTGGTTCTGTTTATATGCTGGATTACATTTATTGATTTGCATATATTGCATCCCAGGGATGAAGCCCACTTGATCATGGTGGATAAGCTTTTTGATGTGCTGCTGGATTCGGTTTGCCAGTATTTTATTGAGGACTTTTGCATCAATGTTCATCAAGGATATTGGTCTAAAATTCTCTTATTTGGTTGTGTCTCTGCCCGGCTTTGGTATCAGGATGATGCTGGCCTCATAAAATGAGTTAGGGAGGATTCCCTCTTTTTCTATTGATTGGAATAGTTTCAGAAGGAATGGTACCAGTTCCTCCTTTTACCTCTGGTATAATTCGGCTGTGAATCCAATATTTTGTTTTGTTTTTCCTTTTTGAGACAGGTCTTGCTGTGTCACCCAGGCTGGAGTGCAGTGGTATTAACAGAACTCAGTGCAGCCTTGACATCCTGGGCTCAAGCAATCCTCCTGCCTCAGCCTCCTGAATAGCTGGGACCACAGGCATGTGCTGCCATGCCCAGCTACTTTTTTGATTTTTTTTGTAGAGATGAGGTCTCACTTTGTTACCCAGTTTGGCCTTGAATTCCTGGGCTCAAGTGATCCTTTAACCTCAGCCTCCAAAAGTGCTGCAGTTACAAGCATGCGCCACCATACCTGGCCTTGTTTTGATTTTTAGGTACCACAAATAAGTAAGAACATACGATATTTGTCTTTCTGTGCCTGGTTTATGTCACTTATAATGACATCCAGTTTCATCCAGGTTGTTGCAAATGACTGGATCTTGTTTTTTTTATGGCTGAATAGTACTCCATTGTGTATATGTACCACACTTTCTTTTCTGTTTTTTTAGACAGTCTCACTTTTGTCGCCCAGGCTGGAGTACCGTGGCGCAATCTTGGCTCACCGCAACCTCTGCCTCCTGGGTTCAAGCGATTCTCCTGCCTCAGCCTCCCAAGTAGCTGGGATTATAGGCACGTGCCACCACGGCCGGCTAATTTTTTATTTTTAGTAGACACGGAGTTTCTCCATGTTGGTCAGACTGGTCTCAAATTCCCAGCCTCAGGTGATCTGCCCACCTCGGCTTTCCAAAGTGCTGGGATTACAGGCGTGAGCCACGGCACCGGCCCATTTTCTTTACCCGTTCATCTGATGATGGACATGTAGATTGCTTCCAAATCTTGGCTATTGTGAACACTGCTGCAATGAACAATGGGAGTGCAGTTATCTCTTCAATATACTGATTTCCGTTCTTTTGGAAAGAAAGGAAATCCTACCTAGCAGTGGGATTTCTGGATCACTTGGTAGCTCTATTTTTGGCTTTTTGAGGAAACTCCAAACTGTTCTCCATAGTGCTTGTACTAATTTACATTCCCACCAACAATGTACAAAGTTTCCCTTTTTTTCACCTCTCCAGCATTTTTTATTGCCTGTCATTTGGATAAAAGCCATTTTAACTGTGGTAAGATGATATCTCATTGTAGTTTTGATTTGCATTTCTCTGATTATCAGTGATGTTGAGTATCTTTTCCTATACCTGTTTGCTATTAGTATGTCTTCTTTTGAGAAACATCTATTCAACTCTTTTGCCCATTTTAAAATTAGATTATTAGATTTTTTTTTCTATAGAGTTGTTTGAGCTCCTTCTACATTCTGGTTATTCATCACTTGTTAGATGGGTAGATTGTAAATATTTTCTCTCAATCTGTGGGTTGTCTCTTCACTTTGTTGATTGTTTGCTTTTCTGTGCAGAAGGTTTTTAAGTTGATGTGATCCCATATATCCATTTTTTTCCTTTGGTTCCCTGTGATTGTGGGGTATTACTCAAGAAATTTTTGCCCAGACTGATGTTCCGGAGAGTTTCCCCAATGTTTTCTTGTAGTCGTTTTATAGTTTGATGTCTTAGATTTAAGTCTTTAATCCATTTTAATTCAATATTTGTATATGGTGAGAGATAGGGGTCTAGTTTCATTCCTCTGCATATGGATATCTAGTTTCCCAGCACAGACTGTCTTTTCTCGAGTTTATGTTCTTGGCACCTTCATCGAAAATGAGTTCATTATAGATATGTGGATTTGTTTTTTGGTTCTCTATTCTGTTCCATTCATCTATGTGTCTGTTTTTATGCCAGTGCCATGATGTTTTGGTTACTATATCTCTATGGTATAATTTGAAGTCAGGTAATGTGATTCTTCCGGTTTTGTTCTTTTTGCTCAAGATACCTTTAGGTATTATGGGTATTTTGTAGTTCTATATACATTTTCAGATTGTCTTTTCTATTTCTGTGAAGAATGTCCATGGTATTTTGACAGGGATTGCATTGAATTTGTAGATTACTTTGGGTAGTATGAACATTTTTACAATATTGATTCTTCCAGTCCATAAACATGCAATATCTTTCCATTTTTTTGTGTCCTCTTCAATTTCTTTCATCAGCATTTTATATTTTTCATTGTGGAGATCTTTCACTTCTTTGGTTAATTCCTAGGTATATTTAGTTTTATTCGTGGCTATCGTAAATGGGATTACTTTTTAATTTCATTTTCAGATTGTTCACTGTTGGGACATATAGAAATACTACTAATTTTTGTATGTTGATTTTGTATCCTGCAACTTTACTGAATTTATTGTTTTAATAGTTTTTTGGAGTCTTTAGATTTTTTTAAAACTGAGATTATATCATCTGCAAACAAGGATAATTTGATTTCTTCCTTTCTAATTTGGATGTCCTTTATGTCTTCTCTCTCTCTCTCTTTCTTTTTTTTTTTTTTTTTTGAGATGAGGACTTGCTTTGTTGCCCAGGCTGGTCTCGAACTCCTGGGCTCAAGCAATCCTCCTGCCTCAGCCTCCCAAAGTGCTGGGATTACAGGTGTAACTCACTTCGCCTGGCCTAGGAAGCCCTTTATTTCTTTCTCTTGTCTAATTGCTCTAGCTAAGAGTACTATGTTGAATACTATGTTGAATAACAGTGGTGAAAGTGGGCATCCTTGTCATATTCTAGATCCTAGAGAAAAGGCTTTGAGTTTTTGCCTGCTCAGTATGATACTAGCTGTGAGTCTGTCATATATGGTTTTTATTATGTTGAGGTATGTTCCTTCTATACCCAGATTTTTGAGGGTTTTTAAGATTTCAATAGTTTTGGGAAACAGGTCGTTTTCAGTTACATGGGTAAGTTATTTAGTGGTGATTTCTGAGATTTTGGTGCACCTGTCACCCAAGCAGTGTACACCGTACCTAATATGTGTAGTCTTTTATCTTTCACTCCCCTCCCACCCTTCCCTCCAAGTCCCCCAAATCCATTATATCATTCTTATGTCTTTGCATTCTCATAGCTTAGCTCTCACTTGTATGTGAGAATATACAATATTTGGTTTTCGATTTCTGAGTTACTTCACTTAGAAAAATGGCGTCCAGGTCCACCCAAGCTGCTGCAAAAGCTATTATTTTATTTAGTTTATGGCTGAGTAGTATTGCATGGTGTATATATACCACATTTTCTTTATCCACTTGTTGGCTGATGGGCATTTAGGTTGGTTCCATATTTTTGCAATTGTGAATTGTGCTGCTATCAACATGGCTTGCACATGTGTCTTTTTCATGTAATGACTTCTTTTCCTTTGGGTAGATACCTGATAGTGGCATTGCTGGATCAAATAATAGCTCTACTTCTAAATCTTTAAGAAATCTCCAAACTGTTTTCCATAGTGGTTGTGCTGGTTTACATTCCCACCAATAGTATAAAAGAGTGTCCTTTTCACCACATTCATGCCAACATCTATTACTTTTTGATTTTTAAATTATAGTAATTCTTGCAGGAGTGAGGTAGTGTCTCATTGTGCATTAGGAAATTTAGTATACAATAAAGACAGCATTTTTATTGAGGAAAGGATGCATTTTAAAAAACAAGTTTTTCAAAAATATAGGGAGGATTGTGGTTACTTCTAGAAACAGTAGTGCAGTCAGGAAAAATTCAGCACAATATGTATCAGTGGAATTCATCTGATCAAACTTAAAATATTATTCCTTGCATTATAGTTCTGAGCAGGTACCATAGATAATAGTTCTATTGTGTTGTTCACTTTAAACTAGAGCAAGAAACTTTTCTAATAAGTGGAATTGGGAGCTGTCTAGCTGGTGTTGGCCTGATAAATGCTTAATACACATGAATGTGCATGCATATGTATGCATATACCATATACATATATTATAAATTTAACTGATATAAAAGATGTTTGGTAAATAGTTTAAAATAGTAATAAAATATACAATTCTCCCTATTATCAATTATTACAGAATGTTTCCCTTGATTTTTGCTGAACTTTTCTATCCATAAACTATCTATGGTTGTAATTGACAAGTATAGTTCTCACATGAATGTCTGTTGGTATTTTCATTTATCTTAACAAATAATATAGAGTAAAATGACAAAGACATTGAATCTTGACCTGTTTGTCAATGATGTGACTTCCTTGCTGCATTGGATAATACCTCTTAAATACTGGAAAATTATTTGTTGATTTTTGGTCTATTCACAATGTAACAGCTACAAATATGATACACTTTAAAAAATAATGGTATAATTTAACTTTTTAATTTTTTTATTTCAATGGGTTTTTGGGGAACAGTATTTGGTTACATGAATAACTACTTTAGTGGTCATTGCTGAGATTTTGGTGCACCCATCACCCGAGCAGTATACATTGCACCCAGTTTGTAGTCTTTTATTCCTCACCCCCTTCCCACCCTTTCCCCCTAAGTCCCCAAAGTCCATTGTATTATACTTATGCCTTTGCATCCTCATAGCTTAGCTCCCACTTATGAATGAGAACATGTGGTGTTTGGTTTTCCATTCCTGAGTTTCTTCACTTAGAATAATGGTCTCCAGTTCCATCCAGGTTGCTGAGAATGCCATTATTTCATTCCTTTTTATGGCTGAGTAGTATTCCATGGTGTATTATATATATAATACATATATTTTATATATATGTATATTACAATTTCTTTATACACTTGTTGATTGGTGGCTATTTGGTCTGATTCCAAATTTTTACAATTGTGAATTGTGCTGCTATAAACTTGTGTGTTCAAGTATCTTTTTCATATAATGACTTTTTTTTCCTCTGGGTAGACACCCAGTAGTGGGACTGCTGGATCAAATAGTAGTTTTACTTTTAGTTCTTTAAGGAATCTCCACACTGTTTTCCATAGTGGTTGTACTAGTTTACATTCCCACCAGCAGTGTAAAATTGTTCCCTTTTCACCACATTCTGGCCAACATCTATTATTTTTTTATTATGACCATTTTTGCAAGAATAAGATGGTATCACATTATTGTTTTAATTTGCATTTTCCTGATAATTAGTGATGTTGAGCATTTTTTTATATGTTTCATATCTTCTTCTGAGAATTGTCTGTTTATGTCCTTAGCTCACTTTTTGATGGGATTTGTTTTTCTTACTGATTTGTTTGACTTCCTTGTAGGTTCTGGATATTAGTCCTTTGTCTGATGCAGAATTTGTGACTATTTTCTCCCACTCTGTGGGTTGTCTGTTTACTTTGCTAATTCTTTTCTATGCAGAAGCTTTTTAGTTTAATTAGGTCCCATTTATTTATTTTTGTTGTAGTTGCACTTTCTTTTGGGTTCTCAGTCATGAATTGTTTGCCTAAGCCAATGTCTAGAAGAGTTTTTCTGCTGTTATATTTTAGAATTTTCATGGTTTCAGGTTTTAGATTTAAGTCTTTGATCCATCTTGAGTTGATTTTTGTGTAAGGTGAGAGATGAGGATCCAGTTTCATTCTTCCACATGAGGCTTGGCAGTTATCCCAGTACCATTTCTTGAATAAGGTGTCCTTTCCACACTTTGTGTTTGTATGCTTTGTTGAAGATCAGTTGGCTGTAAGTATTTGACTATATTTCTGGTTCTCTGTTCTGTTTCATAGGTCTGTGTGCCTATTTTTATACCAGTACCATGCTGGTTTGATAACTACAGCCTTTTAGTATAATTTAAAGTCAGGTAATGTGATGCCTTCAGATTTCTTCTTTTTGTTTTGTATTGCCTTGGGGATGTGGGCTCTTTTTTGGTTCCATATGAACTTTAGGATTGTGTTTTTCTAGTCATGTGAAGAATGATAATGATATTTTGCTGGGAATTGCATTGAATCTATAGATTGCTTTTGACAGTATGGTCAGTTTCACAGTATTGATTCCTGTCATCCATTAACATGGAACATATTCCATTTGTTTGTGTCATTTATGATTTCCTTCAGCAGTGTTTTGTAGTTTTCCTTGTAGAGATCTTTCACCTCCTTGGTTAAGTATATTCCGAAGTGTATTAGTCAGGGTTCTCTAGAGGGACAGAATTAATAGGCTAGATGTGTATATAAAGGGGAGTTTATTAAGGAGTATTAACTCACACAATCACAAGGCCCAACAATAGGCCATCTGCAAGCTGAGGAGCAAGGAATCCAATCTGAGTCCCAAAGCTGAAGAACTTGGAATCCGATGTTCAAGGGGAGGAAGATCCAGCATGGGAGAAAGATGTAGGCTGGGAGGCTAAGCCAGTCTAATCTCTCCACGTTCTTCTGTCTGCTTTTATTCTGGCTGCACTGGCAGCTGATTAGATCGCACCCACCCAGACTGAGAGTAAGTGTGTCTTTCCCAGTCCACTGACACAAATGTTAGTCTCCTTTGATAACACCCTCACAGACACACCCAGGAACAATACTTTGCATCCTTCAATCCAATCAAGTTGACACTCAGTATTAACCATCACAAGTCCTCCCCTTGTCAACTTGAACCCATACACACCTCCTGAAATTATAGATAATCTTCAAATTAAGACAATAATAAGGTCATAATTATTCCCAACATGATACAACTATCCTTCATACAACCAAGAATGCACCAATTCCCAACCCAAATGCTATTACATAAAGTTAACATTTAAATTTTCATATGAAGTCAATAAATCTTATGTCACATGATAAACAAGAAAGGAAATAAAATGAAGATATTTTCTTAGTACAAATGTATAAATGCACAAACATGTTTTTAACAAAGAAGGAGGAAATACTCACGACAATTAAAATCCTCATTTCTGCAACTGGTTGTGTGGTTCATAGCTGGTATTGATGACTACCTTCCTCTACTACTCATTCTGTATTCCCTTTGCCTTCAGCAAGCACCTCAGCAGGTAGTGGTTTTTTCCTGGTGTAGTGACCCAAACCTTCATTCCTGAAGGATCTGGGCCATTTGTAGTCCTGCCTGGATTGTGCTGTTGTAGTTTCCCATTGACACAGGGCATGGTAATACTAAGAGACACCCTAAGGGATCTTGTGTATTCCATGCATACTCTTCCTTACCTCCACTGTGGAGTAGTAGACTGATTTCATCTTGAGAGTCTGGGTCAGTCACCCCAGCCAACACTGTAACTTCCTTCTTAGATTGTTGGTTTAAAGGTAGGAGGAGCCCAAAAAGTGTCCCGGTGTCAATCTTAATTTCCAGTTTAATGGAATCGTGGTTGTGTCTTCTGGTGGCAGCATTCCTCCCTCTGGAACTAAGACCTCTAGGCCAGCAGAACATAATGTCACAGGGACAGTAAGCAAAAATTTTACTAGTGGGTCACTAGGGGTGATGGTAAGTGGTGCCACTTCCACTTCCACCCCTTGATTCCTGGACCTGTGAATTCCGGCTATGGGAGAAACAGTACCATATATTGGATGCTGATTCAGAGCATACACAACCTTCTGGAGAATTTTGCCCCAGCCCTGCAAAGTATTGTCACCTAGTTGACATTGTAATTGTGACTTCAAAAGGCCATTCCATCATTCTATCAATCCAGCTGCTTCAGGATGATGGGGAACATGTAAAGACCAGTGAATTCCATATGCATGAGCCCGCTGCTGCACTTCTTTAGTCGTAAAGTGAGTGCCTTGGTCAAAGGCAATGCTGTGTGGAATACCACGATGGTGGATAAGGCATTCTGTGAGTCCACAGATGGTAATCTTGGCAGAAGCAATGTGTGCAGGATAGGCAAACCCATATCCAGAGTAAGTGTCTATTCCAGTGAGGACAAATCGCTGCCCTTTCTATGATGGAAGAGGTCCAATATAATCAACTTGCCACCAGGTAGCTGGCTGATCACCCTGAGGAATGGTGCCATATCAAGGGCTCAGTGTTGGTCTCTGCTGCTGGCAAATTGGGCACTCAGCAGTGGCTGTAGCCAGGTCAGCCTTGGTGAGTGGAAGTCCCTGTTGCTGAGCCCATGTGTAACCTCCATCCCTGCCACCATGGCCACTTTGTTCATGGGCCCATTGGGTGATGACAGGGGTGGCTGGGGAAAGAGGCTAAGTGGTGTCCACAGAACGAGTCATCCTATCCACTTGTTTATTAAAATCCTCCTCTGCTGAGGCCAGCCGTTGGTGAGCACTCACATGGGATACAAATATCTTCACAGTTTTTGACCACTCAGAGAGGTCCATTCACATACCTTTTCCCCAAATTTCTTTGTCACCAATTTTCCAATCATGCTTCTTCCAAGTCCTTAACCATCCAGCCAAACCACTGGCTACAGCCCATTAATCAGTATATAATTGCACATCCGGCCATTTCTCCTTCATGAAAAGTGCACAACCAGGTGCACTGATTGAAGTTCTGTCCACTGGGAAGATTTCCCTTCACTGCTGTCCTTCAGGTATGTCCTAGGAAGGGGCTGTAGTGCTGCAGCTGTCCACTTTCAGGTGGTGGACATATCATGCAGAACCATCTGTGAACCAGTCCTTAGTCTTCTCTTCCTCATCAACTGATCATAGGGAACTCCCCATGAGGCCATTGTTGCAAGCTGGGGAAGAGAAGGAAGGGCGGCAGGAGTGGAGACCATGGGAATTTGAGCCACTACCTCATGTAACTTACTTGTGCCTTCAGGACCTGCTCGAGCCCGATCACATATATACCACTTCCATTTGATGATGGAATGCTGCTGTGCGCACCCCACTTTATGGCTAGATGGATCAGAAAGCACCCAGTTCATGATAGGCAGTTCAGGTTGCTTGGTGACTTGATGACCCATAGTCAAATGTTCAGTTTCCACCAAAGCCCAGTAATAGGCCAAGAGCTGTCTCTCAAAAGGAGAGTAGTTAGCTGCAGAAGATGGAAGGGCCTTGCTCCAAAATCCTTGAGGTCTCCACTGTGATTCACTTATGGGGGCCTGCCAAAGGCTCCAAATAGCATCCCTATCTGCCACTGACACCTCAAGCACCATTGGATCTGCTGGGTCATATGGCTCGAGAAACAGAGCAACTTGCACACAGCCTGGACGTGTTGTAGAGTCTTCTCCTGTTCTGTACTACATTAAAAAGTGAGAGCCTTTTGGGTTACTCGATAAATGGGCTGGAGTAACATACCCAAATGAGGAATGTGTTGCCTCCAAAATCCAATAGTCCCAAATAAGCCTCTTTCGTGGTTGTAGGAGGGGCCAAATGCAGCAACTTATCCTTCACCTTAGAAGGAATATCTTGATAGGCCCCACTCCACTGGACCCCTAGAAATTTTACTGAGGTAGAAGGTTCCTGAATTTTAGTCATTTATTTTCCATACTCTGGCATGCAAATGTCTCACCAATAAGCCCAGTGTGTTTGCTACTTCTCACTCACTGGGTCCAATCAGCAAAATGTCATCAAGGTAATGAACCAGTGTGATATCTTATGGAAGGGAAAATCAATCAAGTTCTCTCCAAACAAGATTATGACACAAAGCCGGAGAGTTGATATACCCCTGAGGTAGGATGGTAAAGATATATTGCTGGCCTTGCTGACTGAAGGCAAATTGCTTCTGGTGGGCCTTATGGACAGGAATGGAGAAAAAGGCATTTGCCAAATCAATGGTTGCATACCAGGTACCAAGAGATGTGTTAATTTGTTCAAGCAATGAAACCACATCTAGTACAGCAGCTGCAATTGCAGTTACCATTTGGTTAAACTTATGATAATCCACTGTCATTCTCCAAGATCCATCTGTCTTCTTCACAGGCTAAATAGGAGAGCTGAACGGGGATGTGGTGGGAATCACAACCCCTGCACATTTTGAGTCCTTGATGGTGGCACTAATCTCTGCAACCCATCCAGAGATGTGATATGTTTTTTGATTTACTATTTTTCTAGGTAGAGGCAGCTCTAATTGGTCTTCCTATTTTGTCTTTTCCATCATAATAGCCCTCACTCTACCAGTCAGGGAGCCAATGTGGGGGTTCTGCTAGCTGCTAAGTATACCTATGCCAATTATGCATTCTGGCACTGGGGAAATGACCACAGGATGAGTCCAGGGACCCACTGGACCCACTCTAAGTCAGACTTCAGCTAAAACTCCATAAGCCCCTACTTTAACTGGAGGACCACCAGGACGTTTTCGGTCCCCTGGAGTCAACGTCAGCTTAGAGACACTGTTCAGTAGTCCCTGAAATGGCAATCATTTCCCTTTCCCCAATCACAGTTACTCTGGTAAAAAGCCGTAGGTCTCCATGGGGAAGGATGGGAGAAAGACTAACAGCATAAATTGTTGTCAGTGTCATCCTTGTATCCCTGGGATAAATCCCACTTGGTCATAATAAGTGATCTTTTAACAGCGTAAATTGTTGTCAAGGGGAACCAGCCTCCCCTTCATTTAAGGGATTCTAGGTCTGTAAACTGGTTTAAGTCTGGAAATTGATTGAGGGGAAATTGATCCTCTGTTTTTATAATTCAAATTAGTCTTTTGTCCACTTGACCTGGAAGTTTTCTGCTTATATAAATTAAATAAGAATGCAATAGGCTTCCTATCATTTTCACTTCTAGGAACACCATGATTAATCAACAGATGCCAGAGATCTACATGAGTCAGACTATTGTGATTGCTGCTTTGCCTCTGCTGTCCATTATGGTAGCTATGCCCACCTTGCCTTTGACAGTTGACTGGCCCCTGCCACCTCGAGATCCAATTATTCCCATTGCATTTAAGTTTTGTAGTTGAGTGACTGTGGTTCCTACTGTAAAATCTGGCATACAGAGAAGAGCAATCACAAAGCTCTTCAAGGATGCAGGTACTCCCCTCACAAATCTATTTTGCAAAGTATTAGTCAAGGATATATTTTCTGGATCCTCCCAGCTGGGATGAGTAGGTCTAAACTGACTAATCCACTCCACCATCCCAATCTCCCTAAACCTTTTGATCCCTTCCTCTACATTAAACCAAGGGAGATCAGGCATTTCCAGCTTGCTCACAGTGGGCCATCTTTTAATCCATATTTCAGCTAACCAAGCACATAAATTATCAGAACCTTTTTAAACTCCCCAAGCTGCAACATTAAATGCAGAATCCCTGCTTAGTGGGCCCAAATCAATAAATTCAGCCTGATCCAATGCCTTGGATCTATGTTCCATCCACCATTATCCCACACCCTTAATATCCATTCCTATGCCTGTCCTCCAGATTTTTGCTTATATAAATAAGAAAGCTCAAGCAGTTCTTTTCGAGTGTAGCACACCTCCTCATGGGTTATACTCTGAACCTCACCCCTAGGGCCCTCCTGGGACTTTAGTCTAGTTATAGGTCTAGAAGCAAACAGGGGTGGTGGGGGGTGGGTCCTGAGGAGAATCAACATTATCTTGCCTGGCAACTGCCTCAGGGGAAGCCATCACTGTTGCCTCAGGCAGTGCAGGGTTTTTCTCCTCAGACAAATGTGGAAAGGCTGATGGCAGTGTGGGTTGGGGAGGACATGTTGCCACTACTGGGGATGAGAAAGCTGTTTCTTCTGGCAAAAAAAGTTTCATCAGAATTTATAATCTCAGTGTCCCCAGCTTCATCAGGGTCCTTTTACATATCCCCATTCCAAGTTTCAGGATCCCATTCTTTTCCAATCAATGCCCTCATTTCAACAGTAGACACCTGGCAAGGCTGTGCATGCACCTTTCATTGCAGGTCAGCCACTGGTATGATAAGAACTTGTGTCCAATTTCCCGCAATTTCAGCTCTTTCTCTACAGGAGATAAGACTCTCACTCAGGGCAATCTTAGCAGGTTTGAGGTTCAGTATCTGCTTCTGAAGCTAGGAATTAGAATCCCTAAGTTCATCATTTTCTTTCATCACTTTGTCCAGTGAACTTAGGAGGAACCAACCAACTTCATTATGTTCCTTAGTTCCCCACATATGGTCAAAGGTATTACATATAGAGTTACTAAACTCCTTGCCTCTCACGAACCGTGCATCAGGAGTGTCAAATGAATTTATTTTGTGTAACTCTGTAAACAGTTCGTGCCAAGGACTATCAGTGTTCTCCATACTATTAGAAGTACAGTCCTTAGCATTTTTGGGTCTAATCATATTAAGCAGCCTTCTCCAGAAACCCCAAAACCAATGAAAGAACTCCATCCTTAATAGTCTGTTCTTCTGGAACCACTCCTGGGACCAAAATCTGTATTAGTCAGAGCTCTCTAGAGGACAGAACTAATAGGATAGATGTATATATAAAGGGGAGGTTACTAAGGAGTATTAACTCACATGATCACAAGGTCCCACAATAGGCCATCTGCAAGCTGAGGAGCAAGCAAGCCAATCCAAGTCCCAAAGCTGAAGAACTTGGAGTCCAATGTTCAAGGGCAGGAAGCATTCAGCACAGGAGAAAGATGTAGGCTGGGAGGCTAAGTCAGTCTAATCTCTCCATGTTCTTCTGCCTGTTTTTATTCTGGCTGTGCTGGCAGCTGATTAGATTGTGCCCACCCAGATTGAGGGTAGATCTGCCTTTCCCAGTCCACTGACTCAAATGTTAATCTCCTTTGATGACACCCTCACAGATATACCCAGGAACAATACTTTGCCTCCTGTAATCCAGTCAAGTTGACCCTCAGTATTAACCAGTACACTAAGTATTTTTTTTTTTTTTTGCAGCTGTTGTAAAAGGGATTGAGTTCTTAATTTGATTCTCAGCTTGGTTATTATTGGTGTATAGCAGTGTTGCTGATTTGTGTGCATTGATTTTGTATCCTGGAACTTTACTGAATTCATTTATCAGATCTAGGAGCTTTTTGGATGAATCTTTAGGGTTTTCAGAGTACATGATCATATTGTCAGCAAACAGCAACAGTTTTAACTTCCTCTTTTCCAATTTGGATGCCCTTTATTTCTTCCTCTTGTCTGATTACTCTGGATGAGACTTTCAGTACTATGTTGAATAGAAGTGGTGAAAATGGGCATCCTTGACTTATTCCAGGTCTCAGGGGGAATGCTTTCAACTTTTCTCCATTCAATATGATGTTGGCTGTGGGTCTGTCATAGATGGCTTTTATTACTTTGAGGTATGTCCCTTCTATGCCAATTTTCTTGAGGGTTTTTATCATAAAGGGATTTTGAATTTTATTAAATGCTTTTTCAGCATCAATTGAAATGATATATGGTTTTTGGTCTTCATTCTGTTGATATGATGTATCATATTGATTGATTTGTGTATGTTGAATCATCCTTGTATCCCTGGGATAAATCCCACTTGGTCTTTTAACTGTATTGTTGAATTCAGTTTGCTAGTATTTTGTTGAGGATTTTTGCATCAATATTCATCAGATATATTGGCCTGGAGTTTTATTTTATTTTGATGTGTCATTGTTTGGTATCAGGATAATACTGGCCTCATAGAATCAGTTTGGAAGTTAACCCCTCCTCTACTTTTTGGAATAGTTTGAGTAGGATTGGTATTAGTTCTTCTTTAAATGTTTGGTAGAATTTGGCAGTGAAGCCAATGGGTCCCAGGCTTTACTTTGCTGGGAGACTTTTTGTTACAACTTTGATCTAATTACTTGTTATTGGTCTGTTTAGGTTTTAATTTCTTCATAGATCAACCTTGGTAAGTTGTATGTGTCTAGGAATTTATCCATTTCCTCTAGATTTTTAAATTTATTGGCATATAGTGGCTCATCATAGCCACTAATGATCCTTTGAATTCCTGCAGTATCAGTTGTAATGCCTCCTTTTTCAGCTCCGATTTTATTTACTTGGGTCTTCTCTCTTTTTTTCTTCATTAGTCTGTTTAAAACTTTGTCAATTTTATTTATCTTTTCAAAAGATTGACTTTTTGTTTTGTTGATCTCTTGTATTTTCATCATTTCAAATATATTTCTGCTTTGATCTTTATTATTTTCTCTACTAATTTTGGATTCAGTTTGCTGCTGCTTTTCTAGTTCTTTAAGATGTATAGTTAGGTTATTTAAAATGAGGTTTTCATTCTTTTCCAATGTAGGCAATTACAGCTACAAATTTCCCTCTAATAGTACTCCTTTTGTTGTATCTCATAGGTTTTGGCATGTTGTGTTTCCATTATCATTTGTTTGAATCAAATTTTCAATTTCCTTTTAAATTTCTTTATTGACCCACTGGTCATTCAGGAGCATATTGTTTAATTTCCATGTGTTCATGTAGTTTCCAAAATTCCCCTTTTTTATTTCTAATTTTACTTCATTGTGGTCAGAGAAGAATCTTGATATGATATCATTTTTAAAAAAATATTTTAGGACTTGTATTGTGACTAGCATATGGTCTATCTTTGAGAATGATCCACGTGCTGAGAAGAATGTGTATTCTGCAGCTGTTGGATGAAATGCTCCATAACTATCTATTAGGTCAATTTGTTCTATAGTGCAGATTAAGTCTGATGTTTCTTTGTTGAGTTTTTGTCTGTCAGTTCTGTCCAATACGGAAAGTGGGGTGTTGAATTCTCCACCTATTATTGTATTGTGATCTCTATCTCTCTTTTAGCTCTAATACTATTTGCTTTTTATATCTGGGTGCTTCAATGGTGGGTGCATATATATTTATAATTGTTATATCCTCTTGCTGAATTGACCCCATTATCATTGTACAAAGACCTTCTTTGTCTCTTTTTGGAGTTTTTGTCTTGAGATCTATTTTATCTGTTATAAGTGTAGTTACCCCTGCTCCTGTTTTGTTTCCATTAGCAAGGAATATCTTTTCCCATGTCTTTATTTTCCAGTCTATGTGTATCTTCATAGGTGAAGTGTTTCTTGTGGGCAACAGATCATTGGGTCATGTTTTTTCATCCATTCAGCCACTTTATTTCTTTTTATTGGAGAGTTTAGTCCATTTACATTCAATAATTTCATTTAAGTAGGAACTTCCTCCTGCCATTTTGTAATTTGTTTTCTCGTGGTTTCATGGTCATCTCTCCCTTCTTTCCATCTTCTTTTTCATGAAAATAATTTTCTCTGGTGGTATGATTTAATTTCTTGTTTTTTATTTTTTGTGTATCCATTGTATGTTTTTCCATTTGAGGTTACATGAGGTTTATGACTTATCTTATGACCCATTATTTTAAACTGATGGCAACTTAACAGACTGCATAAACAAAAAACAAACACACAAAAGGAAGACTAATAAAAGTTCTACACTTTAACTGTATCCTCCTGCTTTTAACTTTGTGTTGTTTCTCTGTGTCTTATTGTACTATGTTGTGAAAAGTTGTCTTTTTTTTTTTTTTTTTTCTGAGTCAGAGTCTTGCTCTGCTACCAGGCTGGAGTGCAGTGGCCTGATCTTGGCTCACTGCAACTTCTGCCTCCTGGGTTCAAGCGATTCTCCTGCCTTAGCCTACTGAGTAGCTGGGACTATGGGCACGCACCACCACAACACCCACCTAATTTTTATATTTTTAGTAGAGACGGGGTTTCACCATGTTGGCCAGGATAGTCTCGATCTCTTGACCTAGTGATCCGCCCATCTTGGCCTCCCAAAGTGCTGGGATTACAGGCATGAGCCACCATGCCTGGCCAGGTTGTTATTATTTTTGACCAGTTCATCATTTACTCTTTCTACTTAAGATAAGTTTACATACCACAATTACAGTGTTATAATATTCTGTGTTTTTCTGTATGCCTATTCTTACCAGTAAGTGTCTCGGCATTGAAGAGCTAGGTATTTCTTATAGTCTTTGCAGTCTGGGCTTGTTTATCCCTGTCCTTCTTGAGAAGGTTTTCCAGAAGGTTTTTATTTGAAGGAGCTTGGGCCTCAATCCCAATAATACTGTGGTTTTTGCAGACTAGTAGAGGTACCATCTTGGAGGTCTTGAATAAGATCCAGAATGATTATCTGGATTGCCAGGCAAAAGCACTTGTTCTTTTCCCTTACTTTCTGTCAAACAGTCTCTTTCTGTCTCTCTCTCTCTCTCTCTCTCTCTCTCTCAAGGTGCTGGGCCATCTTGAACTAGGGGTATGGTGATGCAAGCACTCCTGTGGCCCCCACTTTGGATTGTGCTGGGTCAGACCTATAGCCAGCACAGCCCTGGGTCTTGTCCAAGGCCTGCTGTAACCACTACCTGACTACCACCTATGTTCACTCAAGGCCCTAGGGCTCTAAGATCAGCAGGGGGTGACACCAGCCAAGTTTGCATCCTTCCCTTTAGGGTAGCAAGTTCCCCCTGGCCCTGGGCAGGCCCAGAGATGCTACTTGGGAGTCAGGGATTGGAGTCAAAATACTTAGAAATTTGCCTGATATTTTATTTGACTACGGCTAAGCTGGCACTCAAACCACAAGACAAAGTCTTTCCCATTCTTCCCTCCCCTTTCCACAGGCAGAGGTGCCTCTCCCTGTGGCCAGTACTACCACTGGTCCACAGGGAATCTGCCTGGCCACTGCTGATGTTCACTTAAAGCTTAAGGGCTGTTCAGTTGTGTTGTGGTGAATGCTGCCAGGCCTGGGACTCTTCAAGGAAGTGGGCACCCCTCTGCCCTGGGGAAGATCCAAATATGCTTTCCAGGAGCCAAAGCCTGGACTTGGGGACCCCAAGAGCATGCTTGTTGCTCTACTCCACGTGGCCAAACTGGTACCAAAGGTGCAAGACAAAGTCCCCTTTACTTTTTCCTCTGTTTCTGTCAAACAGAAGGAGTCTTTCACTGTAGCCACCACAACTAGGAATGTGCTGGATCACACCTGAAGTCAGCACATCTCAGAACCTAAGGCCCACAGTATACTACCTGGATATCACTGCTGGTTATTTGGTGCCCAAGGGCTCTTTAGTCAGCAGGTGATTAATCTTGCCAAGACTGGGTCCTTCCCACCAAGGCAATGGGTTTTCTATTTGTCCAGGGTGTGTCTAGAAATGTCATCCATGAGCTAGGGCCTGGAATGCGGGCCTCATGACTCTACTCAATGCCCTATCCTACTGTGGCTGAGCTGGTATCCAAGATGCAAGACAAAGTCCTCTTTACTCTTTTCTCTCCTCTCCTTAAGCAGAAGGAAGGAGTGACTTTTGTTGCTGCAAGCTTCACTGCCTGGGATTAGGGGAGGGGTGGCACAAGCACTCCCTTAGCTGCCCCAGCTGATGACTTCCTAGGTCATGTGCCACCCCTATCCCTCTGGTTCTGAGCCCAGCCCAGCACTAGGAGTTACCTAGGAATTGCAATCCTTGTGTCCTAGACTGTCTTTCAAGTTTACCTAGAACCTCAGAGCACTTAAGCATATAGTGGTGAGGCTTGCTGAGTTCTGACTGCTGGGATGAGTGATTCGCCTCTGGCCAGGCCTGTTCCAAAATCTCCCTTCATGTGCAGCTGCTGGCTGAGTCCAGCACAGTGTTGTTCCCTGCTACGACAGCACCGAGTTTAATGTAAAGTTCCCCAGTTGCTGTGCTTTACTTCCTCCAAGTGCGCAGACTCCCCACGTTGCTCAGCTGCTGCTGGGGGATATGGGAGGGGTGATGGTGGTGATCCCAGAGTGTCTCTCCAACCCTCTTCAATGCCTCTTTTAGTGATACGTTGTTAAATCTAGGTACTACGATTGCTCACCTGATGTTTGGTTTTTGTAATGACGCTTTTCCGTGTGCAGATAGTTGTTACAATTTGGTGTTCATGTGGCGGGGGAGGGGGGGGATGGTGTAGGCTTCTGTTCCACTATCTTGCTCCACCTCAATAGTCTGATGTGCAGAAGCTCTTTAGTTTAATTAGGCCCCATTTGCCAATTTTTGTTTTTGCTGCAAGAGCGTTTGGCATCTTTGTCATGAAATCTTTGCCAGGGCCTATGCCCAGAATGATATTTTCTAGGTTTTATTCTACGGTTTGTATAGTTTTAGGTTTTACATTTAACTCTTTAATCCATCTCAGGCTGATTTTTGTTCATGCTGAAAGGAAGGGGTCCAGTTTTCAGTCTTCTGCATATGGTTAGCTAGTTATCCCAGCAATATTGAGTAGGAAGTCCTTTCTCCATTGCTTGTTTTTGTTGAAGATCAGATAATTGTAGGTGTGCAGCTTTATTTCTGGGTTCTCTAACCTGTCCCATTGGTCTATGTGTCTGTTTTTGTATTAGTACCATGTTGTTTTGGTTACTGTAGCCTTGCAGTATAGTTGAAGTTGGGTAGTGTGATGTCCTTCTTGTTCTTTTTGCTTAGGATTGCTTTGACTATTTGGGCTCTTTTTTTTTTCCATATGAATGTTAGGATAGTTTGTTTTTCTAATTCTATGAAAAATAATATTGGTAGTTTGATAGGAACATCATTGAATCTGTGAATTGCTTTGGACAGTATGGTTATCTTAACAATGTTGTTTCTTCCTACCCATGAGCGTGGAAGGTCTTTCCATTTGTTTTATCATCTCTGATTTCTTTCAGTAGTGTTTTATAATTCTTTTTATAGAGATCTTTCACATCCTTGATTAGCCATATTCCTAGGTATTTTCTTTTTGTGTATGTCTATTGTAAATGGCATTGTGTTCTTGATTTGGCCCTCAGCTTGGATGTTGTTGGTGTACAGAAATGCTGATTTTTGTACATTGATTTTGTATGCTGAAACTTTGCTGGAGGTTTTATCAGATGTAGGAGCTTTTTGGCAGAGAATATAGGGTTTTCTAGGTATAAAATTATATTGTCTGCTAAGAGAGATAGGTTGACTTCCTCTCTGCCTATTTGGATGCCTTTTATTTCTTTCTCTTGCCTGATTTCTCTGGCCAGGACTTCCAGTAGGATGTTGAATAGGAGTGGTGACAGTGGGCATCCTTGTCTTATTCCAAGTCTCAAGGGGAATGCTTTGGATGGTACCAATCCTTTTAAACTTATTGAGGATTGTTTTAGATAATGTTCCATGTGCAATTGAGAAGAATGTATATTATGCTGCTATTGGCTATATGTTCTATAGATGTTGCTATGATATGAATGTTTGTGTTCCCCAAATTCATAAATTGAAACCTAATTCTCATGTTGATGGTATGAAGAGGTGAGACCTTTCAAACATAATTAAGTCATGAGGGCAGAGCCCTCATGAATGGGATTGGTGCCCTTATAAAAGAGGCCCAGAGAGGTGCCTTGCCTCTTTCACCATGTGAGGACACAGCAAAAATGTGACATCCATGAACCAAAAAGTGGCCCCCTCCCCAGACACTAAATCTGCTGGTGCCTGAATCATGAACTTTCAAGCCTCTAGAACAGTGAAAAATAAATCTCTCTTGTTTATTAACTACACAGCATATGGCATTTTGTTATAATATCCTGAACAGACTAAGACAGATATCGTTTAGGTTAGTTGGTTTTTAGTGTTGTTCACATCTTTCATTTCCTAGTGATCTTCTGCCTAGTTGTTGTCCATTATTGGAAGTGGAGTATTAAAGTCTCCAGTTATGACTATTGAATTGTCTATTTCTCCCTTCATTTCTGCCAGTTTTTGCTTCATGTGTTTTGGGGCTCTATTATTAGATGCAAGTATGTTTTTAGTTGCTATATCTTCCTGATTGGTCCTTTTGTCATTATAAAATGTCCTTCTTGATTTCTAGTAACACTTTTTGTCTTGTCTGTTTTGTCTGATATTAGTGTAGTCACTCCAGCTATCTTGTGGTTGCTGTTTGTACAATATATGTTTTCCCATTCTTTTACTTTCAATCTGTTTGTATCTTTGAATCTAAAAGTGTCTCCTGCAGACAACACATAGTTGGATGTTGTTTTCCTAAAAACTCTAGACTGACAATTCTGCCTTTTGATTGGGTTCTTTAATGTATTCACATGATGTTACTATTGATATATTTGGATTTATGTTTGTTATTTTACTCCTTTTTCTATATGTTTTAATTCTCTTTTTTTCCTATACTTTTCATTTACTGATTTATATTAAGTGAATATTTTAGAATGTAACATGGTAATTTTTAAAATAAATTTTAAACTGTATCTTTTGAGTTATTTTCACAGTAGTTTCTCTAGAGTTTACCATATATATTTTAGCTTATTGGTATCTGCTTCAGATTTATATTAACTTAATTCTAGTGAGATATAAATATGTTACTTCTAGATAGCTTTATTTCTCTTCTGCCTTTTGTATTACTGTTACACATATTACATCTTGTGGTGGATTGAATTGTGGGCCTCAAAAATATATGTCCACATAGTAACCTTTGGAACCTGTGACCTCATTTGGAAATAAGTCTTTGAAGACATAATTATATTAGAGATTTGGGGATGAAATTACCCTAAATTTTCAGGTGGGGGCTAATTCCAGTGAAAAGTTTGTTTTGTTTTTTAAATAAGAGATAGAAGATGGAAAACAGACACAGAGGAAAAGGCCATGCGAAGATGGAGACAGAGATTGGAGTGATGTCAACAGCCACCAACACCTGGAAAAGGCAGAAACAGATTCTCCGTAGAGCCTCTAAAGGGAGTGCAACCTTGCCAACATCTTGAGTTTTAATTCTCCTCTCCAAACCTGGGAGAAAAACTGTCTTAAGCAACCCAGTGTGTAGTAATTTGTCACAGCAGCCACAGAAAACCAATGCACATTTATAGTATTATATACCCAACAATACATCGCTATAATAATTATTACTTTATGTAATCTTATATTTTTTAGAGGCACTAAGAGAAAAAAGGAGAAAATTATATATTTATGGCATTTCTTATTTGTCATTGCTAGTTCTATTCATTTATTCTTGTGGATTCATATTACCATCTGGTGTCTTTTTTTAATCAGATACAGCTGTTCTCCCACACACCTCTTTTATACTGTAATTGACAAATTTGTTATATTTCTGTATGTTTTTGGTCCAACAATAGAGTTCTACATACTGTTTTATGCAATTCGTTAGACTCAGGTTTTCTATTTCACCTTCGAAGTGTGGCCCTTAGGCCAGGAGCAGTGGCTCACGCCTGTAATCCCAGCACTTTGGGAGGCCGAGGCGGATGGATCACAAGGTCAAGAGATTGAGACCATCCTTGCCAACATGGTGAAACCCCATCTCTACTAAAAATACAAACATTAGCTTGGCATGGTGGTGTGCGCCTGCAGTCCCAGCTACTCAGGAGGCTGAGGCAGGAGAATTGCTTACACCTGGGAGGTGGAGGTTGCAGGGAACCAAGATCACGCCACTGCACTCCAGCCTGGCGACGGAGCAAGACCAAATCTAAAAAAAAAAAAAAAAACAAACAAACTGTGGCCCTTAGAACTTAAAGTCATATTTTGGTTCTCAAATCAGTTCCAAGAGTAGGTGATCTAGCCCTTTCATTCTAAACACTACACATGTAGTACTAGAGTATAATATTGTATTTGCTTATTTTTTCAGAGTCAGGGTCTTGCTATGTTTTCTAGACTGGGGTGCAGTGGGGCAATCATAGCTCACTCTAACCTTGAACTCTTGGGCTCAAGAGAATCCTCCTGCCTCAGTCTCCTAAGTAGCTAGGACTACAGGTGCACACCACTACACCCAGCTAATGCATTTTTTTTTTAACACACATAAAGCACAGTTTTTTCACAATAGATTGACAACGATAATTCACGTCTTTTTTGCTAGATGATATTAAGCCACAGATCAAAAAGTCCTAGACTTTTATACTTACTTGAAAAAAACCTCAAATTTGCTGAATGCCATTGTATTAAGAGCTAATCTGTCTGGTCCAATCACATAATATATTTGCCTATATTCAAGTTTCATATTTCTACATATTTGATAAACATTCACACTAGATTTTCCTCTGTGCTGCAGACAAAAATTTTCTTCAATGGTGTCTGAAAAGGGAGGCCTGCAACCACTACCAAACCACTCTACCTGAGATTAGTTTATTAGATAGTGCCTAACCTGAAATAAAAATCTGCTGATAGAACATTCTGCAAAAAAAGCTCTATTATGTTATAGTAGAGCTCATACTATATTATGGTTTCAAAGGTAATAAGAAAAATATCATCAGATCATCATTATGGTAGCTATTTTAAGGGAACTTAATAAAAATTTAACAGTTATCATCAAACACTGGCCACCTCAATTTTAAACAGTAAACACACGAATTACTCCCATAAAAATTATAAGCATAACAGGACACTTCTTGGCTACTATTCAATACTGACTTGGATGTTCTAGATAACACAAGATAAGATACATGTGTGAATATCTATACACATATAGACATATTTATAGATGTGTGTGTATATATACAGTATATATATAAGATTTTAGAAAGGAGGATAAATATATATTACATGATAAAACTTATAGTCAATATAATTTTACACTTGTAAAATCCCAGAAAACCAAAGGAAAAAATAGAACTAAAAAAGAGTTCAATGAAATGATTAGTTTAAAAAAATAAATATAAAAAATGTAATTTTCCCACATACCTTCAAAATGTAGCAATCCCACTAAGCAAAAAGTGGTATTTCTACCAACTATAGATAAATGAAAATTCACCTTTAAATGTCTCTTATCCTCCATGAAACTCATCAAAAACAACAAAAAGTACAGCAGACAAAAAAAAAGTCTTATCTTTAATGAAACTTTGTAAAACATTTGAACCTCAACCATGATGTGTATGAAGATAAGTTACTAAGTGCCATGAAGATTGGACCAAGATATGAAAATGCTAGGAGAGGATACCTTTCACTGAAGATCTTGGAAAGGGTTGGTATATTGGTATTTTCTAGAGTAGTGATTCTCACTGAGATGCAAAACCAAAGACTCCTTGTTTTGGATTAAAAAGATCTAGGTACAGAGGCTGAGGGCAGAACTCTCTCATTATCCTATTTGTCAACACAAAATAGGAGAGAAGGCAGGACTAAATCTGAGAGTGAGCAGATGCACCATTATTTCAAGATTGAACCTAAGGATGTGGCAAGGTAAGGAGAAAAGTCAGGATGACAAGTTGCCCTGTAGCCGCCAGTTCTCATCAGTTGAAGA
This sequence comes from Homo sapiens, assembly GCF_000001405.40. Lineage (NCBI taxonomy): Eukaryota > Metazoa > Chordata > Mammalia > Primates > Hominidae > Homo > Homo sapiens. Next base: position 157,780 of record NW_025791778.1, read on the forward strand.
TATATTAAAACTATGGTACACATAAGCCACTCCATCAAACAGTAAATATGGCTATACTGCAAGCAGTAAAAAAGTGAACAGGCTCTGCTTCCATACAGTCAAGAACAAAAAGAAACACTTGACAAGGTTGAGAAAAATAAATGGAAAAAAATAAAGAATTTAAAAGAACTGGAGAGAAAACTGTAGCTTTGGAATACAGAAAAAGGAGATACAGCATACTGCTAATAGATGTCCTCAAAGAGACCAAATACATAGACAAGGGGAAAAAATCCAAAGACATCATTCAAGAAAAAATTTTGAGATACAAATAAACTTCAGACTTTTACTTCCAGCAATGGAAATCCAGTTTGTCTTCAGCCAGTGGCATATCTCAGACAATAGGCAAGCCATGAGAATGGTTGTTGGACTGCAGTTTCGGACTCTATTACTACATGTATAGTATTTAGAATAAAAGAGCTAGGTCTCCTCATGTCAGCACTTATTTGACCAATGGGAGTATGATTTTAAGTTTTTAGGGTCACACTTTGAAGGTGGAATATAAAAAAAATTATAGAAAGATAAATTTTTGTTCAGATGCATCTACTGCAGCAATTTGGGAGGCTAAGGTGAAAGGATCGTTTGAGCCCAGAAGTTTGAGACCAGCTGGGCAACATAGTGAGACCTTGTCTCTACAAAAAATTAAAAATTAGCTGGGCGTGGGGGCGCTTGGCCTAGAAGTTCAAGGACAGTTTGGGCAACATAGTGGGACCCTATCTTTATAAAATATTTTTAAAAATTAGTTGGGCATGGTGGTGTGTGCCTATAATCCTGGCTACTTGGGAGGCTGGGGTGGGAGGATCACCTGAGCCCAGAGAGGTAGGGGCTGCAGTGAGCCATCTTCACACCACTGCACTCCAGCCTGGATGATGAAGTGAGATTCTGTCCCAAAAAAAGGACAAAATGAAATATCAGCAATGAAAGGTCCTGCTAAAGAGAAGGTTTGTTAATTCATAATTTTAATGTTTATCTGGTCATCTTATCCAAAAGGCAAAAATCTTTAGCCTCCCTTATCTTTGGGATATCGTTCTCTCTTAAATGTTGCTTTCTCACAAATCCCAATTTACTTGAATAAGAATGCAATGTTATGCCAAAAGTTAGGGAGGCATATGGTGGGACAAATCCTACTGGGTGGATGGTTTCTTCATTCTTTTCACAAATGAAATCTTCTGAAAATAGACGTCAGTGGCAGTTTAAATAGAGAAATGGGAAAAAGGGAAGCCAAAAATCTGAGAAGCGTGTGAAAGAGGAGGAGTTTCTGTGAAGATTTCCCATACTGTTCTCTGTATGCATTTTTCCTTTTTTCCTCACGCCCTAATCTATACCCACACATACTATCCCTCTAGGTGCAGCTCAGAATTCCTAAACCTGGTATAATTGGAGGCATGGCTGCAGACCTAAAAGTTCGGTACATCTTTACAGTTGTATTTCATCTGTTTAAGGCAGAAAGAATAAATTTTCATTCCAAAGCAGTTAGCTTGCTTAGCAGCATTAATTTAAAATGAAGAAATGCACATCCTAATCTCTGGCACTGAAGCAGAAAATTAGTTTTGGTTTAGAAATTTGGTGAAGAATAAGTTCAATTTTTATGGGCTGTTTTGCATCCTGGTGAGATCTAATGAGGTCTGTACTTGTGACTACCTAATAGGCTGACATGTTTCCTCCTTTAATTTTATCTGAGACTTGGTGTCAATGATTTTTTGGTTTCTTAATTCAAAAAGGCAAACTAGCCAAGGGGTATTTACTACTTATATTGCCTTATATCACAGTGTGCCCTTTCTAGTTCCCTAGAAGAGATAACGAATGGGTTTGTGTGTTTAGGGAGGTAACTGGTTTTTAGTGGAACACTGGCATTATCAATCCCACTCTTAGTGTTAAAAAGAGAATGCCCGAGCTACCCCTCTCCCCACCATTTTAATCAGCAATTTTTAAATGTTTTCAAATATTATAGAAATATGCAGGCTGATGCCAGGTGCGGTGGCATGGGGCTCACACCTGTAATCCCAGCACTTTGGGAGGCCGAGGCAGGCCAATCACTTGAGGTCAGGAGTTCGAGACCAGCTTGTGCAACATGGCGAAACCTCACCTCTAATAAAAATACAAAAATTAACCGAGCATGGTGGTGCGCGCTTGTAGTCCTAGCTACTTAGGAGGCTGAGGCAAGAGAATCGCTTGAACCTGGGAGGGGGAGGTTGCAGGGAGCTCAGATCGTGCCACTGCACTCCAGCCTGGGTGACAGAGCAAGAACCTGTCTCAAAAAAAAAAATAAAATAAAATAAAATAAAATAAAATAAAATAAAAAGTTAAAAAAAAAATGCAAGGTGAGTGCAGTGGCTCATGTCTGTAATCCTAGCACTTTAGGAGGCTGAGATAAGATGGGAGGATCGCTTGAGCCCAGAAGTTTGAGACCAGACTGGGCAACAAAGCAACACGCTCATCTGGAAAGGAAGGAAGGAAGGAAGGAAGGAGGGAAGGAAGGAAGGAAAAAAAATTTCAAACATACACAAAAGTTGAGAGAATTGTGTAATTGACCCCAATGTACCATCACCCAGCTTCAATAATTATCGATACTTTTAGGCAGGTTTCTACCAGAAAATATGTCCTGGAAACTTTAATTCTTGATCTGTGTTCAGATTTTGCCTTTCAAATGTTTCATTATTGGGGCTTTGGACATATTGCACCTGTATTAAAAGAAGGATTTGAGTGAGGAATTTAGTGCTTCATAGTCAATAGTCAATGAGTCTCCTTTTGGCTCGCCTCCTTCTTAGGGAAAGGAACTGGTTGTAGGGTGTTAGGCAGAATTTGGGTGTATCTGTTGTGGCTCAGAGATGTTTCTCATAGAACTGATCACTGTCCCAATATCCACGCAAAAGACCAAATTAAAAGCGAGGAGAAATACCTAATGTAAATGACAAGTTAATGGGTGCAGCACACCAACATGGCGCATGTATACATATGTAACAAACCTGCACGTTGTGCACATGTACCCTAGAACTTAAAGTATAATAATAATAATAATAATAATAATAATAATAATAAAGCGAGGGTGGGTATCTAGCCTATTCTTATCCTGCCTCATGGTGTTTTCTAAATATTTACAGAAAGAAAATTTACAGAGTAGTTTCCTGGTCAAACTCTAATGAGTATCTCAGTACTTTCCCCTCCACTTCTCACGTCTTCTTTGGGGACGGGTCGTCAAGTCTTTGAGTTTCTAGTTATTGCTATTGACTGGTTTATAACCTCCTCTTTCACCCAGATCGTCAAGGGCCGTTTGCAAAGCACTCCCAAGTAGAGCCTCTTGGAGAAGGAGAAACTGCTATCACGCAAAAAAAAAGCCTTGAGCTCGCTGGCTCCGCTGCCTCGAAAAGCCAGAGTCCGGAGGCAGTTTGATGCGGACACTATTCCCCAACCTTCTTCCCCTCCTTGTCGTCTCTATTGCCCTCTTGGCAGCTCCTGGGATACAAGAGGGTGCAGGACAGACTTCAACCCGCAGCAGGATCCAGCGCGGAAAGCTCTGCAGCAGGATCCAGCGCGGAAAGCCCCCCGCAGCACTTCTTTCGGGGGGCTCCTGTTTCCTTAAGCCTAGAAGGTGTGGTCGCTCACGTTCACCGTCCCGCCTCTCGCCGCCTCCGCTCGGCAGCTCCACGCTGAGTCCCGCCCTCTCCGCCGGAGAGGTGCGCCGGGGTCAGAGCGCCGGGACCCGACGCGCGGCTCCCAAAGGGCGGCAGGAAGAGCCCAGCTGGGCTCAGCCACAGTTATCAGCAATCTGCGGGCAGAGGATGTGGAGGTTAAGATCTGGGCAGCCTCAGGGCGTTGTCCTAGAAAACACCGTTTAAGGAGAGAAGTGTTAGTGTCTCGGGGCGTCTCCCAGGCTCCGCCCTGCGCCCGCAGCCAGCGTGGTGGTCGAGACCCCAGCCCGCTGCTACTGGAGACAGCACCTCTCGCGCCCGGGCGGGCGGCCTCGTCTCTGCACCCCTAGGCGGCGCTGCGCTCCTCAACACCCGGCCGGCTCCGCTTTCCCAGACGGCTGCCCAGCCTCCAGCCTAGCAAGCCCGGCTCCCAGCTGGCCAGCCCCGGCAATGCCGGCGTTCGGGAGGCGCAACGTCGGCGGTCGCTGAGTATCCAGCCCGCAGCAGTGACGGCCGGCAGGAGCGTGCTCTTCCCCGCGGCTCGTGCTCTCCAGGAGTCCGGAGCATGGTCCTGGGTCACCGTTGGTGTAGCGTGTTGGTGGAACGTGGACGCCTAGAGGGAGGATGGTGGGCTGTGGGGTGGCAGTTTTATGTTTGTGGGTTTCCTGCGGCGCTGCAGCGGGACAGCTCGAGTACTCAGTGCCGGAGGAGACGGAGCGGGGCGTAGCCGTAGGCAATCTCTCCGCGGACTTGAGGCTGCCAGCGGCCGCTATGTCCTCGCGGAACTTTCGCTTCCTTTCCAGCCACCGCGAGCTCTACTTCGGGGTGGATCTACCCAGCGGCAATTTGGTGGTCAGAGAGCCGGCGGACCGCGAACAGCTGTGCAGGGCCAAAGCTGCCTGCGTCTTGACCTACGACCTGGTGCTCGAGGACCCGCTGGAGCTGCACAAGATTCGGATTCACGTCCTGGACACCAATGACAACTCACCTCTCTTTCCTGCCGGCGACGTGCAGCTGCACATCCCCGAGTTCCTGACGCCCGGAGCCCGCTTTACTCTCCCGAATGCCCAAGATGACGACGAGGGAAGCAATGGGATACTAAGCTACAGCCTAAGCCCCAGTCAGCACTTTCGCCTGGACATGGGATCGCGGGTTGACGGCAGCGAATACCCGGAGTTGGTGTTGGAGAAAGCACTGGATCGCGAACAGCGCGCCACCCACCTGCTGGTGCTTACAGCTCGGGACGGCGGGCTACCTGCCCGCTCAGGAGACGCACAAGTCACCATCATTGTGGTGGACACAAATGACAACGCGCCTGTATTTGAGCGCTCCGTATACCGCACCAAGGTTCCAGAGACTGCACCCAATGGGACTGTGTTATTCCGAGTTCAAGCCTTGGATCCAGATGAAGGGTCCAATGGGGAAGTCCAGTACTCCCTAAGCAACAGCACGCAAGCAGAGCTGCGACACCGCTTTCACGTGCACCCTAAAAGTGGGGAGGTGCAAGTAGCTGCTTCACTAGGTCCGCCTGAAACGCTCTTGGAGGCATACATTGAGGCGAGGGACGAAGGTGTCTTTGGTTTAGCTAGCACCGCTAAACTGCTGGTGGAGGTGACTGACGTGAACGATCATGCCCCCGAACTGGACTTCCTGACTCTTTCGAACCCAGTACCTGAGGACGCTGCCCCTGGCACAGTGATTGCTCTCTTTAGTGTAAAGGATGAAGACCTCGATTCTAATGGTAGGGTCATTTGTGGCATGTCTAGTGCAGGCCCTTTTCAGCTGACGGCTTCCTTTGACAACTACTACAGCCTGCTGATTGATGGGCCCCTGGACCGGGAGCAGATCAGTGAATACCAAGTCCTGATCACGGCCTCAGATAGTGGCTCACCCCCACTTAGCACCCGAAGGACAATCACTGTGTCAGTTGCTGATGTGAATGACAATACACCAAACTTTCCTCAACCCCAGCAGGAACTTTTCGTTGCTGAAAACAATGGCCCTGGGGCCTCTCTAGGCCGAGTGTTTGCCCAGGACCCCGACCTGGGGAAGAATGGCCTTGTCTCTTATGAGCTGTTGGATGTTATCTCTGAAGGGCCATCAGCCTCTAGCTTGCTGGCAGTGGAATCATCCAGTGGGGCCATCACTGCCAAAACTTCCTTTGACTTTGAGCAGCTCAGGGGGTTTCATTTCCAAGTAGAAGGCCGGGATGGTGGCATTCCTCCCAGAAGTGCAACAGTGACTATAAACTTGTTTGTGGTAGATAGGAATGACAATTATCCGGTTATCTTGTTTCCCTTGCCCAGAAATGGTTCTGTCCCAGTGGAAATTGTGCCCCGCTCTGCCAGGACTGGACACTTGGTCACAAAAGTGGTAGCAGAGGATGCTGACAGTGGTTCTAATGCCTGGCTTTCCTACCACATCTCCCGGGCGTCTGACTCTAGTCTCTTTAGAATTTCAGCCAATATAGGTGAGCTCCGTACTGCTCGCTTAGTTCTTCCCACTGATGCAGTTAAGCAGAGGGTGGTGGTAGTGGTTCGGGACCATGGAGACCCACCACTTTCCTCCTCTGTCACTCTGGGTGTGCTGTTGAGCAACTCTGTCCCTCAGTTACTTCCAGACTTTGAAGATGTCTGGGAACCAGGAGGGCAGCTTTCTGCCCAGAACTTGTATTTAGTAATTGCCTTGGCTTGTATTTCCTTTTTATTTCTGGGGTGCTTACTTTTCTTCGTGTGTACCAAGTTGCACCAGAGCCCAGGCTGTTGCGCTCAGAGCTGCTGTCGCTCTACAGAGGATCTGAGGTATGGAAGTAAGATGGTTTCAAATCCTTGCATGACATCAGCCACCATAGATGTCACTACAGTTGAGAGACTTTCTCAGACTTATCTCTATCGGGCCTCTCTGGGACTTGGTTCTGATAATAACAGTTTGCTGTTGCGTGGGGAGTACAATGCTGCCGACCTGCGAAATCTTGCCACTGGGGTAGGACTGAATTTGCCAATATCCTGTATTCAGATTCGGAATAGGAAAGGGGATCACGCTAATGTCAATGCCATGGTAAGCAAATTTTATGGAATTTGATTCCTTTGGCCCGGAGATGGCTGCTAGCTGTGTTTTGAAATATTTCTTAGACAAGCCTTTCACAACATTTCATCAATTGAACTAAACACTCCTTCTTAGCACTTCCTGTGCCAAGAAATCTGGAAGTATAGAAGTATTAGAAGATTGCCCTAGGCCTCAAGGGACTTATAGTTTATTTTTGAGAAACAAGGGCAAAAATTAAAACCTATTTAAGAACAATAAAAGTAATATGACATAAAGGTCTAAAATTAAAAATAAAATACCAAAATATTTTATAAGCAACAGATGTGTAAGGCACTCTAATATTTAAAGTGAAGAATGAAAAATATGTAAGAGTCTGCTTTATATGAATATAATATGGAAGGTGAAACATTTACTTAAACTATTGCAATGCATTATTAAAAGATGACGATAACCACAAAAGATGTAAAAATAAATTACAATGGGGGTTAAAAGAAGGGAGAAAGGGAACATAAGAGAACATTTGAGTGAGGAGGAAGGAGTCAGAGAAGGCTTTGTGATAGAGATCACAGATTTAGTTGGATCTTTAATACGATATACCATTTAATAAAAAACAGTGTATTCTCTAGCCTATACTTTTAATGAATACCATTTTGGTGAAGGTGTCTTCTTTGGGAATGACACCCTAAAACATAGCTGATAGCTCCATAGCAGTGTTTTGTAACTGCTTTGGAGTTTTTGCTTACACAAAAACTGTAAGCCTCTCTCATAACATCTATTTATACTGATAGGAGATCATATTGTTGGATATAGGACTTGACAACCTTTTGTTTTGTGTTTCTATTGATAATATTTTACAAAGAGGAAAGATGAGTAATTTTTATGTCAGAAATATTTATGTGTTCAAAGGTGCACTTACCATCCAAAGTCCATTCAACTTGGATTTAATTTCTTTTATTTTAGGGGACAAATACACTTAACAAATAAGTAAATATCATATTTGAGAGTAATGTATCTAATGAAAGTTAAGTGATTCAAATATTTCAATTTATCTGTTAGTGGCCCTTGGCATTTCAAAACTTCTTTTTTTTTTTTGAGACAGGGGTCTCACTATGTTGCCCAGGCTGGTCTCAAACTCCTAGCCTCAAGTGATCCTCCCACCTAGGCCTCCCAAAGTGCTGGGATTACAGGCATGAGCCACTGCAGCTGGCCCTCAAACTTCTTGAGTGCAGTTAGGACAACATTTTGAAGCAATTCTACGGTATTACTTTTTGACTTCTCATAGAAATCCTAGATGCAAGAGAAGGAGGTGTGTAGAAATTAAGGAAGGAAAATGAAGCATTCCTTGTTTTACTATTCTAGGCAATAAGGGGAAAAGTGGCTTGTAAGTTATTCTTCCTCAAGTAATGATGTTAACTGCAAATAAAATAAATTTACATATGTTAAAATTTTCTGTACTTAATATTTTCACAATATAATAGAATCCAGCATATAAGATATGCTTAGTAAATGCTGACTGAATGAATAAATATGTGCATATATGAATTGGATGGTAACACTGTTCAACACAGAGGGAAAAACTTTAACTTACTTTTCTACTTTAGATGTGTATATGTGGTTAACAGTTTAAAGGTCACTTTCAAATGTACTGTTTCAATGATTATTTTCTTCCTCATGACCTACACTAATAACATAACAGAGGAATTTTCTGATTGTAGAGCTAGCAAGAAAAACTTCAATGCTGTGTCTGGGACTAAGTATGAGTCCAGTTCTACAGATGACAAAGGAATTAATAGGTATGCACATCATTACATTGTGATATTTGCAGTGGATACTATTTAATAGAATCTCAGTTAATTTTAGGGAAGGAAATTGGTGCACTACAATGCTAGTATTTCAGGTATCAGAGCACTTAATATGTGAACACTTTTCCTACCAAGAAATTTCACTATTTATTTCTTTTATTTTCATTGCTTTCTGTAACAAAAAGAGAGGAGAATACCAGTAATGGCTGTAAAGTTTGGGAGTGAGGAATTTTTTTTAGAAACACATTTTCACTAGACTAGAAAGGAAACATAAGTAAGCGATAGGAAGGCTGATGAATCTAGAAGTTAGAAGGAAAATTAGCTATTTAAAAGGAAAAATATAGGAATGACAGAGGAAAAAACAACCCTTCAAACCAAATTTTTAAACATATATGAATGATTAACAAAATAATAGAGATATACTGTTCATATGTGCAGGAATATTGTACCATCCCATTCATTCAGTTGAACAGTCTTTTTCCATCATTGTTGATATTTTGCTTTTTAGGTAGCTCATTGGTCTGCTAATAATTGTTGTGGGCTGGATATTTCCTTATAAATAAATGAATTGTGATTCATAAAACCATGAATAAAATAACTTCTATAAATATGGGGTATTTGTAATTCACAAAGGCATTTGTTATTTACTTCTTCCTGTTCAATTACCTATTGATCTGATCTTAATTCTTTAGAAAAGAATTCTTGTCATAGTATCCTGAATGCCTTAATAACAACAGGATTCTAGAAATAAAATATTTATTGCTTTCATTTTATTTCAAATCATTTGAAAAGCATGACATTTAACAATGATTATAATGTGTGTCTGAGTCTTACAGAATCATGTTGATGCATATGTGTTTATATTTTGCTCAAATTCTAAGTTCTTTCATTTTAGTTTACGGTAAGTTTACAGTATATATTAACATAGCCTGTAATACTAAAAATTATCAGTTTAAGAAATTCAGGAAAACATGGTTTTTATCTCTGTATTTCCAATTGATAATATTTAAGATATAAACAAAATTGATTCACTGATTGTATAACAATTAGACAATGTGTACCTCATGTCCATTTTTTTCTGTTAATATTCTTGATGGGCAATTTAAATTTTTTAGAATGGTATCTAAGAGGGTACCTCTGAGATATAAATTTCTACTTATTAAAAACTGCATTGACAATTTTTAAAGGTATAAATATATTAATGTAGCAAAAATGCATGAAACACTTACCATACAACTGGCCTTATTAAATTTCCACATGAAAGTTATACATAGTTTCAACATACCAATGTTATATTAGTGTATTGTTCACCTGGAATTAAAGCATCTTCTTTTTTGCCAGGGTATATAGGAAATAGGATATCTCCTCTTTGCAATGTCATTTGTTAACAGTAGTAGAATGTTTGTGGCATTCAAGGTGCTTTATTTAACATACATTCCACAAGTAGACTTTCCCATAGGGTAATTAGATGTTTTGTATATCTATTTTGACTTTGAAGCTGATAACCACACTAAAAAACTTTAGAATGATGAAACTAAGGAAGTTTGCATGACATATGAAATATATTCAAATTAAAAAACTCATATAGACAACACAATAATATTGTATAATATAGACCCTCAAATCAGTAAAAAGGAAAGAAAAAGAACATTATAATTTGAGTGGACATAAGAGAAAAGCAATACCTTGGAAACATATAAGTGGGAAAGTATTGACAATGTGTCTCATAATGTTAATGACTTATTGTCTTTTGTTGTCTTCAATATTTTCAGTTAGAGGGAAACAATAATATTTCAACAACTAAATTAACTTAGCTAGGTTGGAATGAAGGTGGACTAAATTGCTGAAAGGTTTTTACAATGCTCAAATGCATGTCATATGAATATCGGAAATATTAACACTTGGCAGAACTTCAAGTGAATATGGATTACAGTCCAGGATCCTGACTAAAGTATTATGGGAAGTAAGGAATTTGTTGGTAAAGGTTGTTCTTAAGAAACAAAGCTAAATAATAAAGGTAGATAGCCACTCATTTTGTTCCCAATTTTAATTGATGGCATAAGATAATGGTTCAGGATATAAATAAATTACATGTCTGTTATATTGCATTTATGAAAAAGAAAGGACTATAAACACAAAAGGTTATTATATATTCATTTGGAACTTGTTTTGGAATCTGGAAATAAATATGCAATCTCGTATTCTCCTGTGCTGTAGAGAAAGATAAACACTTTATTTCTAACCCATCCCAAATTCCTTGGCTGTTCCTAGAGCCATCTGGTTACCATCTACAGATATTCTGTGTTCATAGGGGCACTCTAATGACATACCTTCAAAATATACTCTGAATTCAAACACATTATGGTTATTCTTTAGAATTGTTAAGCAAAGACTACAGCTGTTTTGTTTAAACTCAAAATAATGTTAATATAAAATAAAAACCAATTAAGAAGTCTTAATAGTGGGTTTTTAGGTTGATTTGTCTTTTTCTTTTCTTATTAGGTTAGGCTGGCCCTGTTAAACAAGTTGGAAATCCTGTCTCTCTCTCTGTCTCTCTCACATTTTTTTTCCTATTCCTCGGACACATTTACTGAGATTGGTGATACAGCTTTCTTAAATATTTGGTAGAATTCACTAGTGAAGCTCTCTGTACCTACAGTTTTCTTTGTAGGAAAATTTTAATTGAGATCAAATTTCTTTGTATTTTTATTGCTCCTATTTCATTCCTGTACCTTTAATTTTTTCAGATATATGTTAGTTTTATCTGTACTTTTGAATATTTTGGCATAAAGTTGTTTATAATGTCCTGTTGTGACTTTTTTTCACATCTGCAGGATCTGTAGTGATGTTTCCCTTTTCAATCCTGGTGTTAGTGTCACCTCTCATTTTTCTTGACTAGACTTGGAAGTAGTTTATTAATGATATTAGTCTTTCCAAGGCTAACTTTTGGTGTTTTGGGTTCGCTTTGTTGTATGTTTGCTTTCTATTTTATTAATTTTCATACTTTATTAATTTATTTCCTTCCTTATATGTTTATATTTCAGTGTGCAACAGAAGTACTCTAAACATACTTTTCATTTCTATTTCCTCACACAAAATGTTTAAAAGATTTGTACTTAATTGTGGAGATTTATCAAAATTAATAATAATCAGTGCTTCATCAAGGGCATTCTTACTGGTATTTTTCTTACTGCAAATGTCCAATCATGAATGTAATAACCACCAGTACAGTGTGGAGCCACTGCTTTGACTCCTTCTGTGGTTCTATGGTGGCCAGCTTTACCCACCAATGCTTTTGCATTATCAATGCAAGTGTAAATATAGTGAAAAATGCAAATAATGTTTTAACATTATTTTGAAAATTATATTCACCTCATAAACACCCAAAGGGTCCATAGACCACACTTCGAGAGCTACCGTTCTAATTCTATCATTTCTTCTTTTTTTTAATTAATTGTAACATTTCTGTAATGGGTCTTCAACTATTTGATTAGCCTGAGGTACAGTTCACACAGGAAAGGCAGGATAAATGTTTGATTCTTCCCCTTTGTTTAGCAGTATTCAAAACAATGAATTGATTCCTGGCCATCTTACAAAAAGGACCAAGGCCTTTTTTAGGTGTCATTATGAACTCATTGACTTAAACATATTTGATATGGCCCAATCCATGTCAATTATCTTTTTAATGATCAAATTATGCTAACTTTGGCAAGTTGGGAACTGTTCAGCTTTGCTCCTGAGTCTTTGTGAGTGTGTTTGTGTATCTTGTTTTAAACCTTTTATTTTGGAATAATTATGGATTCACATAAAGTTACAAAACTAGTATAGAGAGATCCCATGTGCTTGTCACCCACTTTTCCCCAGTGATAACACCCTGAATCCTTTTCATGTGAGTCTTAATAGTCTTTTGAATGCTTCCTTGATTTCTGGTATTACAAGATGTTCAGATTATCTTGTACATTTCCTTTCCCAGAATCAGCCATTTTTCAAAGAGCTTTCACTTATTTTTAGTGAAAGATGATACTTAGAGATATAATCTCAACAACAGGTGTGCTTATTGCTGCTGGGTCAGTTGCTGTTTCTAGGTATCTTCAGCTACTGAGCTAAGGGATGTCTATTTTTTAAAAGATAAAATACATCACATGTTTATACTAATCTAATAAAGTTCAGCACTCCGAGGTTTTTACTTAACTTCATCAATCTTACATTCCTATTTCTCCCATACGTCAAATCCCAGTTTTCATTAACGTCAACAGAATTACTCATTTGTTATCCCACGGGACTCAAACAATGGACTTAGAAAACAATTTCAGCACTACAGAAATAATATGATACTGTAGCAGTTTAAGTTTTTGTCATTCTTTTCATTTATAAGGCACATCCTTACAAATGCCCAGTAGGCATGTACAGTCAAATTATTGTGTTTTAAAGTATCTTGGAAAAGTTCCTCTCTGTGTAGTTAAGCCACCAGCTAGATACAGAGCTAGGCTTTTTTCAAGTCGCTTTCAAATTTAGGGCTTGCTTTTTAAATTTTAATTTTCTTTTATAATTATGTGAAATATTTACATGGCTCCAAAATAAACTTATAAAACAAAATATATTTAGAGAAGTCTAGTATCTATTATTCCATACAATACACATTCTTCCCCACTTTGAGTTTTTTCACTTAAAAATATAAACGAGATTATTTCATAGTAGTATAGTATTTACACATATTCCATACTGCTTAATGGTGTCTTTTGATTAGCAATTAATGAGCTCCAATTTATCAATATTATCTTTTTTTTTTTTTTTTGAGACAGATTCTCATTCTGTTGCCCAGGCTGGAGTAAAGTGGTACAATCTTGGCTCACTGCAATCTCTGCCTCCCGGGTTCAAGCGATTCTCCCACCTCAGCCTCCCGAGTAGCGGGGATTACAGGCACCCACCACCACACCCGGCTAATTTTTATACTTTTAGTAGAGACAGGGTTTCACCATGTTGGCCAGGCTGGTCTCGAACTCCTGACCTTAAGTGATCTGCCCGCCTTGGCCTCCTAAAGTGCTGGGATTAGAGGCCTAAACCACCACGCCCAGCCAAAGTTGTCTTTTTTATTTAGTATTCTTTCTATCCTTTTAAAGAAAACATATCCTGCTTCAAGTCATGAAGATATATTCCTGTGTTTTCTTCTATAACATTGCTATCCAATAGAACTTTCTGACATGCTATAAATTTTCTCTATCTGCATATATGGAATGTGTAGCTACTGAGCACTTGAAATGTGGCTAGTGAAACTGGGCTACTCAATTTTTAATGTTACTAATTTTAATTAATTTAAGCTTAAATAACCACATCTGTTTAGTGGTTGCTGTAGTTCTGGAAGCTTTCTTGTTTTAACTTGCACATTTAGATCTTAAATTACCTGAAATTGCTTTTGAATATAGTGCAATGTAGAAGTCAAGATTTATATTTTCCACTTGTAAATCCAGTTAGATTGCCTACTTTCCTCGCTGCTACTGTGCAGTGCTACCTTTGTCATAAGCAACGTGACTTTATATATTCTGTTTCTGGACTGTCTATTCTGTTTCATTGGTCAACTTGTCTATTCTTGTGCCAATACATTCTGTGTTAAATATAGTAACTTTTCATTTGTATTGATATCTAATTGTGTAAGTTCTCTCACTTTGTTATTCTGCTTCAAGATTAACTTAGCTATTTTTGGCCCTTTGCATTTCTATATAAATTGTAGATTCAGCTTCTCAGTTTCTATTTTAAAAAACCCTGCTTTGATTTTAATTGGCACTATATTGAATCTGTAGAAAATATGGGGTATATTGAAAATATCTTATTTTGATCTTTATTGAATCTATAAAAATATGAAGCTTGTTAACATTGACAATATTGAGACAGACAACCGATTAACAAGGTATATTCTTCCATTTATCTTTTTTTTTTTTTTTTGAGACGGAGTCTCGCTCTGTCGCCCAGGCTGGAGTGCAGTGGCGCAGTCTCGGCTCACTGCAAGCTCCGCCTCCCGGGTTCATGCCATTCTCCTGCCTCAGCCTCCCGAGTAGCTGGGACTACAGGCGCCCGCCACCATGCCCGGCTAATTTTTTGTATTTTTTGTAGAGACGGGGTTTCACCGTGTTAGCCAGGATGGTCTCGATCTCCTGACCTCGTGATTCACCCGCTTCGGCCTCCCAAAGTGCTGGGATTACAGGCGTGAGCCACCGCGCCCGGCTTCTTCCATTTATTTTATTATTTTATCTTAATGTTTATGTGTGTGTATGTGTATATAGGGGTATTGCACAACTTTTATTAGATAGCTGATATTTTAATGCTATTTTAAAAGTTTAATTTTATAATACAAAAATTAGCTGGACATGTTGGCACATACCCGTAATCCCAGCTACTCAGGAGGCTGAGGCAGGAGAATTGCTTGAACCTGCGAGGCAGAGGTTGCAGTGAGCTGGGATCGCGTCACTGCACTCTAGCCTGGGCAACAGAGTGATACTCCATCTAAAAAGAAAAAGAAAGGCAGGGCATGGTGGCTCACGCCTGTAATCCCAGCACTTTGGGAGGCTGAGGCAGGCGGATCACGAGGTCAGGAGATCAAGACCATCCTGGCTAACACGGTGAAACCCCGTCTCTACTAAAAATACAAAAAATTAGTCGGGCGTGGTGGCGGGCGTATGTAGTCCCAGCTACTCGGGAAGCTGAGGCAGGAGAATGGCATGAACCTGGAAGGCGGAACTTGGAGTGAGCCGAGATCGCGCCACTGCACTCCAGCCTGGGCGACAGAGTGAGACTCCGTCTCAAAAAAAAAAAAAAAAGTTTAATTTGATAATTGGCTTTTGTTGAAAGTATATAGAAATAATACTGATTTTATGTTAACTTTGTATCCAATGTTCTTGCTAAATAGTAAAATCTCATATTTTTATATTTTGGGTTTTCTACATATACTGTCATGCTATTCCCAAATAATGTTAGTTTTATTATTGTATTTTTTACTTTCTCTCTTTTTTTAAAAAAATAGAGATAGAGTCTCACTACATTGCCCAGGCTAGTCTGGAGCTCCTGGGCTCAAGCAATCCTCCCACGCCAGCCTCCCAAAGTGCTGGGATTACAGGCATAGGCCACCATGCCTGGTCTTTTAAAAACTTTCTAATCACATAGTTTTCTTGCTTTCTGTCATTGCCTATGAAATTCAGTATAAAATTGAATAGAAGTAATGTTAATGGATAATCTTGTCTTATTCCTGGTCTCAGAGAGGAAGTTTTTAAATATTTAATATGAAATACATTGTTTGATTGGGTTTATTTGCAAAAATCCTTTATCAGATTTATTAAGTTCCCTTTGTTTTTTAATTTATTATGTTTTTTAAAAATCATGAATAGGCATTGAATTTATCACATATTTTCTGTTATTGAATGGATAATATGGATTTTTATCCTTTTATTAATAGCATGCATTATATTGGTTGATTTGTTAATGATAAACCAATCTTGCATTCTTGGAATAAACTCAGGTTGCTTATGATGTATAATCCTTCTTTATATCATTAGACTTAGTTTCCTAACATTTTCTTTACAGTTTTTAAATATATGTTTATGATAGAAACGCGTTTCTACAGAAAAAAATAATTATTTTTAAAGGCATAGTTATTGGGTACTAGACTTAGTACCTGAATGATGAAATAATCGGTACCACAAACCCCTGTGACATGAGTTTGCGTTATAACAAACCTGCCCATGTACCCCTGAACTTAAAAGTTAAGAAGCAACACACACACACACAGATGCGCACACACACACACGCACAAGAAATTGGCTTTTAACTTTCCATTCTTATAATGCTCTAGTCGGAGTTTGGCATCAAGGCTATCCTGGCTTTATATAGTAAGTTAAGAAGTGTTACTTTTCTTTTACTTATTCGGAAGAGTTGTCTTAGTCCATTTGGGCTGCTATATCAAAATAGCATAAACTGGGTGGCTTAAAAACAATAGAAATTTATTTTTCACAATTCTGGAAGCTGGAAAGTTGATGATCAAGGTCCTGGCAGATTTGTGTCTGGTAATGGCCCACTCCCTGGTTCATAAAACAGAATGTCACCTTCTTGCTGTCTCTTCACCTTCTGGAAGGAGCAAGGTAGCTCTCTGGAACCTCTTTTATGAGAGCTGTGCCCTCGTGATCTAATCATCTCTACAAAAGCCCTACCTCCTAATATCATAATCTTAGGGGTTAGCATTTCAACTTATGATTGCAAAGGAGGAGGGAACACAAACATTCAGATCATAGCAAGTTTGTGTAAATCAGCATTTTTTTCTTCCATAAGCATTTGAAGAATTAAGAGTGAAATTTATAGGCCTAGAATTCTCTTCATGAGAATGTTAATTATAAATTCAATGTCTATAACATTAATAGTTATAGAATTATACAGAGCCTCTATTTCTTGTTGTATTAGTTTGGTTAATCAAAATGGAAAATTTTAACATACCTTGCTCAAAAACAGAACAAGGAGACAAAAGAAAATCAATAAGGGTACTGAAAACTTCAATAACAGGAATAACCAACTTGTATGTATGTGTGTGTTGCTGGACATTATCATTTGTGAGATACATTTATATTGTTGTGTGTAGCTGTGTATCATTCATTGTCATTATATAGTATTTCAGGGTGTGAATGGTCAATTTCTATAAATGTTCTGCATGTTCAAGAAAAAGCAGTATTCTGACATTGCTTGTTGTTGTGTTCTGTATATGTCCATTAGGTCATCTTTGCTAGTTGTGTTGTTCAAATATTCTGCATTCTTTTTTATTCTTTTTGTTTGCTTATTTTATCAGTTACTGAGAAAATTATGTTAAAGTGTTCCACGATGAATAGTGAATTGTTTCTCCTTGGATTTTGTCAATTTTTTGTGTCATATGTTTTAAGGCTATTTTATTTTATTAGATTCTTAACCAAATATAAATATGTGATATCTTTCTGCTAAATTGAAACTTTTAGCGTTATGTATTATTTACCTCTATTTCTGCTAGTGATAAACTATTATAGTTTTTGTTTGCCTGAAATGTCATTCTTGATAGATATTTTTACATGGGTGTAAAATTCAAGATTGGCATTTATTTCATTTTGGTACATTAAAGTTACCTCCTCAATATCTTCTGGGTTCCACTGTTGTCTCATTGTGCTGCTTCATCAGTAATTTATTATCTTTCTTCCAATTTTACTAATTTTGTCTTCTTGTGTGTCCAACATGCTATTAAAAGTATTCCTTGAGTTGTTAATTTTGGTTATTGTGTTTTTCATTTTAAAAATTATAATTATTACTGATCAAGTCTGCCATGATATTTTTTATAGGTTTCTGTTCCCTGCAATTTTTTTTTTCAAGACAAGTCTTGCTCCGTCGCTCAGGCGTGATCATAGCTCACTGCAATCTTGAATTCCTGGGCTCAAGTGATTCTCCTACCTTGGCTCCCAAAGTGTTGGGATTTCAGGCATGAGCCGCTGCTCCTGGCTCCTGCAAATATTCTTAAGCTTGTCATTTATTTATTTAAATATATTAAATCTTCATCTGATAATTCCAGAGTCTGAAGTCTGCAAGTGTATACCTGCTGTGTGCTGTTTCAGCTGGACAGCTCCATATTTTTATGTGTGCCAACTTTTATTTGACTTTTGATGGTCCATATCCTGAAAATGATATTTGCCAGGATATCCTGAGATCTTGGATGGAAATACCTTTCTTCACGATAGATTTTTATACACCTTCCAGTGAGTGAATACTACTGCTAGTAAACCACTTTAAATCAAGTTCAAGACTTGAAGCTCCTTGGCTACTTAGACTACGTATTCTCAGATAAAAATATGCAGGATATCTGGTATCTAGTTACAAGTTTATAGGATTAAATTTTCCTTTCCTATTTTCCTTCTGGCCTTTTTGGTGCCAAGTCAAATTCCCCAGCAGTTTTCTGGGCTGGAGAGTAGGTGGGTTTAGTTTTCACATACTATTACTGGAAAGATTAGTCCTTTGAAGTTCCAGCTTAATGTAGTTTGGAGGCCCCATAAGACTCCCCATCTTGAACATCCTGCTTCTTTTTTTTTCTTTCTTCCTTTCTTTCTTCCTTTCTTTCTTTCTTTCTTTCTTTCTTTCTTTCTTTCTTTCTCTTTCTTTCTTTCTTTCCTTCCTTCCTTTCTCTTTCTTTCTTTCTTTCTTTTTCTTCTTTCTCTTTTTTTTTTTTTTTCAGATGGAGTCTTGCTCTGTTGCCTAGGCTGGAGTGTAGTGACAGGATTTTGGCTCACTGCAACCTCCGCCTCCCGGGTTCAAGCAATTCTCTGCCTCAGCCTCGGGAGTAGCTGGGATTACAGGCGCCCACCACCACGCCTGGCTAATTTTTTGTATTTTTAGTAGAGACGAGGTTTCACCATCTTGACCAGGCTGGTCTTGAACTCCTGACCTCGTGATCCATTCGCCTCAGCCTCCCAAAGTGCTGGGATTACAGCCATGAGCCATGGTGCCCAGCCCATCCTGCTTCTTAATTTCTGTCTTCCTACAACTTATGTCCAATTTTATGTCAAGTTCAATATTCTGTTTACCTCTTTGGGCTTAGCTTTCCTCCACAATTTGTCCTAGCAGTTCCCCATTATCTTATCAGATTTTCAGTGCTTTTAAGATAATTGTTTTAATGTTTTACCCAAGAATATTTAGTTGATTTCAGTAGGATGACTGCTGTAAATAATTTAGGCTGCCATTACCTGATATTCCCTATCATAGAGTTCTATCACCAGTGACTAGCATCTAAGTAACATTGAAATGCTTTTATGTATATCTTAAAATATTTGAATTACTTTTGTTTTGAAAACAATAGTATCTTTACTTTCCCTAAACCTTGATAAGGGATTCATATCTCTTATTATTAATTTTGGGAAAAAATAATTCATAAACCTGGTCTATTATGAAATGTTTGCTAATTGAGCCAAGAGAGCACATGCATTCATCTAAAACATTCATATAATCAAACTTTATTAAAGGTGATATTTGTGGCTTTACTTGACATAAAACAGCTTCCATATTTCTCTATTCCAGACATTTTATTTAAAATACATTTTTGAGCATAAGATATTTAAAATGTGTAGGCAAATAAGATATCCATATCATTAAAAGATATCTAAAGCTGGTAATGGTGGCTCATGCCTGTAATCCTAGCTACTTGGGAGGTCGAGGCACAAGAATCACTTGAACCAGAGGGAGGCGGAGGTTGCAGTTAACGGAGATTGCACCACTGCATTCCAGCCTGGGCGACAGATGAGACTCTGTTTAAAAAAAAAAAAGATATCTAACAATAAACAAGTAAACTATCAATTATAATACAATCAAATTCAAGCTACAACTGAAATAAATACATGGTATCTAGGAAACTCAGAGGGGAAGCAACTAACTCAGTATGGTGGGGGGTAGGGGGTTGAGGCAGAAAAATCTTCCCATATAGGATGTCACATATAATTATAGTGTTTATATTTGCCAATTGTAAAAAAAAAAATGGCAAAAGAGATCTCATTCAGAAAAGCAATAAGCACAAAAGTTTTAGGAATAACTTTAATGAGAAATATGAAGTAAAAGTATGAAATTTTGTTGAAAAATATTTTAAAATCTTGTATAAATGAGATGGCATAATGTATTTTTAGGCAGAATATTACAAAGGCATGTTTTCCACAAACTAGTTGGATTTGGCCCTGTGTCAATAAAAATTCCAGTAAGATGATTATTTTGCTTTAGCATGACAACTTTTTTCCTAAAATTTATCTCTAAGAATAAGCGTGAAGAAAAAAAAAATTGAAAAAGAGTTTAAAGTGTAGACGTTCTGTTATCAGAATTAAATTTTGGGGCTGGGTGTGGTGGCTCATGCCTGTAATCCCAGCACTTTGGGAGGCTGAGGTGGGTGGATCATTTGAGGTCAGGAGTTCAAGAACAGCCTGACCAACATGGTGAAATCCTGCCTCTACTAAAAAATACAAAAATTAGCCAGGTGTGGTAGTGGGTGCCTGTAGTCCCAGCTACTCTGGAGGCTGAGGCAGGAAAATCGCTTGAACCCTGGAGGTGGAGGCTGCAGTAAGCCAAGATCATGCCACTGCACTCCAGCCTGGGTCACAGAGTGAGACTCTGTCTCAAAAAAAAAAAAAAAAAAAAGAAAGAAAGAATTAAATTTTGGGAAGTCATTATTAGCAATATTGTGTAGTATCCATTGGACAGGATGAGAGTAGAGGAAAGGAGATCATTAAAATATACAGGTAAGAAATTATGGATATTTAAATTCAGACTAGAGGCAAGGGCTTTAATATGATATAAAGGATAGAATTGATAAGGCTAAATGTGGGAGATACAGTAAAATAATAAATAGATGCTATCAAGGTTCATGGAAATGTTGAGTTCAGTATGCAAAATGTCATGTAAATAGACGTAGACAATAATCATTTTAATTTGTTGATCTGAGTGGGGCTGAATTCTAAATATAGACTTTGATTCATCTGCATAAGGAAGCTGGATTATGGATAAAACCATCTATGAACAATGTATAAAGTGTGAAAAAAAGGGATAAGGTCAAAATATTGTGGAACACATTTAAAGGTCTGAGAGAATGAAAGTCCACAGTCTAAAAGCAGTAGGAGATGTAGGAAAAAAACTAGGAAGTGGTCCTTTATGCAAAGCAAAAGAGGAAAGTTTGAAGAAAATGAGTTGATTGAAGTTGTAAGATGTCACAGAAGTCAAGAAGAGGTCTCTGAAGTGTTCATTGGACTGGTCATTATGATGTCATGAGCACTTTAGCATGAGCAGCTTTAGAAGTGTGGTTATAGGAGAAGCAGTGAATTAAAGAGTTAAAGTAATTAAGAAAACAGAGACAGAACTACTGAGTACCCCCCAAAAGCAATTATCTTCAAAATATGGAAAACCAGATTGGGATACAAAAAGGTTTCTTGTTAAAGATAAAGGAGGCCTGAGTAAGTTTATATCTCATGGGAAAATGGTACCAGAGAAGAAAAGGTTGAAGATTAGAAGAGTTGAAAATTAAAGGGCCAAGGCTGGTTTTTTGTTGGTTTGTTTTGTTTTGTTTTGTTTTTAAAGAGGGTTTTACTCTGTCGCTCAGGCTGGAGTGCAGTGATGTGATCACTGCTCACTGCAGCCTTGACACCCCGGGCTCAAGCGATCCTCCTACCTCAGCCTCCTGAGTAGCTGGGATTACAAGCACGTGCCACCACACCTGGCTAATTTTTAATTTTTTATAGAGATGGAGTCTCACTGTGTTATCCAGGCTGGTCTCGAACTCCTGATCTGAAGTGGTCTGCCTGCCTCGGCCTCCCAAAGTGCTGGGATTACAGGTATGAGGCACTGGACTGAGGCTTCTTAAATGGTGGCAAGGAACATATTTTGTGCTTTAAATGATTTAAGTATTTAAAGATCATAGTTTTCCTGGCAACTTACTGTAGAGATCACTTCAGAATTTCCCTGGGTAGAGTAGTGTGCTGTAGAAGTATAGTGTTGTAAGCCAGTGTGGATTGGGAGTCCATACCCCTTATTTATCTATTCTGTGTATCCTATTAATAACAGTAATTATCAGGTTATTTTGCCTTTGAACACCTTAGTAAGTCTGAGCATTTACATGGAAAAAATGCTGGGTTTATTCCTCCTGTTATTGTATTTTACAAGTCTGTCGAGGGTCCACAGTGATCTTTGCCCCATAATTGTAAAATGAGATATTAGAATCATCCTTATTTATCTTAACCACCTACTCCACTGTACAGTTCCTATAATTCCACAAACTTCTCTTTATATTGGTTTATGCCTTCTTTAGATGATTGTGAATAAGAGTATTATCTTAACCTCTCTGGTGGGTCTACTTCTGTAACGGTTGTGGGTCATGAATTATTTTTTACTCAGACATAATTATCTTTGGTCTTATATAAAGAAAACCCTACAGACTCCACCAAAACACTCTTGGAACTAATAAACAAAATAAAGTTGAAAGATAAAAAATCAACTTACAAAAATCAATAGCATTTCTATACACTATTGAACTATCTGAAAAATAAATCAAGAAAACCATGCTATTTACAATAGCTATGAGAAAATAAAAATACTTAGGAATAAATTTAACCAAGAGGATGAAAGACCTGCAAGTTGAAAACTTTAAAACATTGATGAAAGAAATTGAAGAAGACACAAATAAATGGAAATATATTTTATGTTCATAGCTTGGAAAAATTAATACTGTTTAAAATGTCCATATTACCCAAAGCAATATACAAATTCAATACAATTCGTATCAAAATTTCAATGAAGTTTTTACAGAAATATAAAAAACTTCCCTAAAATTTGCATGGAACCACAAAACACCCCAAATACCCAAAGCAATATTGAGCAAAGTAAATAAATAAATAAAACAAAACATACAAACAAAAAAATGAAGCTGAAGACATCATACTACCTGGCTTCAAAATATACTTCAAAGCTATAATAATCAAAACAGCATGGTACTGGCATAAAAGACATGTAGACCAATGGAGCAGAATACAGCTCCCAGAAATAAATCCACACAGTTACTGTCCACTGATTTGCAACAAAAGTATCAAGAATATACAATGGAAAAAGGACAGCCTCTTCAATAAATGGTGGTGGGACAATTTGATATCCAGATGCAGAAAAATGAAACTAGACCCTTATCTCACACTGTATACAAAAGTCAACTCAAAATGGATTAAAGACTTAAACATAGACCTGAAATTGTAAAACTAACAAAGAAAACACAGTGGGAAAGATGAAAGATCAATAACACTGATCTGAGCAATGATGTTTTTTATATGACCCTGAAAGCACAGGCAATAAAAGCAAAAATAGACTAATGGATTGCATCAAACTAAAAAGCTCCTGCGCAGCAAAGAAAACAAGAGTGAAGGGACAATCCACAGAATGGGAGAAAATATTTGCAAACCACAGATCTGATAAGGAGTTAACATACCAAATATATAAGGAACTCAAACAACTCAATAGTAAGAAAACAAATAACACGATTTAAAAGATGGGTAAAGGATGTGAATAGACATTTCTCAAAAGAAAGCACACAAATGACCAACAGGTATACTAAAAAATGCTCAACATCATGAATCATCAGAAAAATGCGAATTAAAACCCCAATGAGATATCACCTCACACCTGGTAGAATGGCTATTATTGAAAGAGGAAAGATAACAAGTGATGGAGAGGATGTGGAGAAAAGGGAACTCTTGCACACGGTTGGTAGGAATGTAAATTAGTACAATCATAGAAAACAATATGGAGGTTACTCAAAAATTGAGACTAAAACAACTATCCAGCAATCCCACTACTGGGTATATATCCAAAGGAAATGAAATCAGTATGTCAAAGACCTATCCGCACTCCCATGTTCATTGCAGCATTATTCATGATAGTTCAGATATAGAATCAACTTAGGTGTTCATAGTGGATGAATAGATAAAGAAAATGTGAAATATATATATATATATATATACAATGGAATACTCATCAGCCATTAGAAAGAATGAAATCCTGTCATTCGTGACAATATGGATGAATCTGGAGGTCATTATGTTTAGTTAAATAAGCCAGGCACAGAAAGACAAATACTGCATGATCTCATTCATGTGGAATGTAAAAAAGCTGATCTTATAGAAGCAGAGAGTATAACAGTGATTACCAGAGATGGGTAGGGCAGTAGTAAGGAGGAGAGATTGAGGAGAGGTTGGTCAATGGGTACGAAGTTACAATTAGATAGGAAGAATAAGTTCTGGTGTTTTATTGAACAGTAGAGTGTAGTTAAGAATAATGTATATTTCAAAATATTATAGAATAGAGGATTTTGAGTGTTCTAACTTCAAAGAAATGATAAATGTTTGAGGTAATGGATATACTAATTACCCTGATTTGATCATTACACAGTGTATATATGTATTGAAACATCAGACTGTAGCCCATAAATAGGTACGTGTCAATTAAAATAATAAAAATAGTAAAATGTATAGTTACTTCCACGGGGTAGAAAATGTGGTATATATTCATGGTATACTACACAGCCTTAAAAAAAGAAAATCCTGTCATTTATGACAGGAAAAAAAAATAAGATAATCCAATGTACCATTTGTTGAAAATACTTTTTCTTTTTATTGCATTATCTTGACATCTTTGTAAAAAGTCGGTTGACCATAAATGTGTGGGCTTAATTCTGGACTCTATTTCACTCCTTTGATCTATATGTTTATCCTTTCACTAAAAGTAGACTGTCTTGATATTGTAGCTTTATAAATTTGAAAATCAGCTGTGAAATCCTCCAACCTTGTTCTACTTGTAAACATTGTTTTGGCTATTATAGGTCATTTAAATTTTCATATAAATTTTAGAATCAACTTTTCAATTTCTACAAAGAATTCCGCTGGGATTTATATTGGGAATGTTTTTAACATTTAGATCAATTTAGGGAAGATTTGGTATCTTAACAATATTGAGTCATCAGATCGTATGAACATATATACCTCCATTTACTTGGGTCTTTAAAAAATTGTCTCAGCATGTTCTGTAGTTTTAAGTATTGAGGTTTCAAAAGTTTTTTGTAATACCTATTCTTATGTATTTTATGGTTTAAAAAATTCTATTGTAAATGGATTTTAAACAGACTTTTAATTTGCAGAGACTATTTCTTCCTTTCCAATATTAATATTTGTTTATTTATTTTGTCATTATAATGGCTAGGACTTCCAGGACAATATAAACAGAAGTGGTGAGAGCAGACATTCTTGCCTTAACCCTGATCTTATGAGAAAAGTGTTCCATATTTTACAATTAAGTATGTGCTACTCATAGGTTTTTCCCAAATACTTTATTAAATTTAGGAAGTACCCTTTCTGGTTTGCTCAGAGTTTTATCATGATTCATTGTTGAATTTCATCAATTTTCTTTTAATCTATTGATATGAGCATATGATTTTTCTTCGTTTTACTAATATGTTGGATTACACTAATTGATTTTTGAATGTTGGAAAAAACCTTCCATTCCTAGGGTAAATCCCACTTAGTCATGATATATTATCTTTTCAAACATTGTTAGATTTAACTTGTATTTTAGTAAATATTTTTACATCTGTGTTCATGTAGAATATCTGTAAATAATTTTGTAAAGAATATCTTTTCTTCTTGAGGGGTAATGTTTTCATTAGGTTTTAGTATTTCTAACCTAATAAAATGACTTAGGAGGTGTTCCTTCCTCTATTTTCTGAAAGGTTGTGTAATATTGGTGTTATTTCTTCCTTCAGTGAAACATTCTGTGCCAGGGATTTTCTTTTAGGGAAAGTTTCTGATAATAAATTCAATTTCTTTCATAGACTTTCTATTAAAAATGTTAACACTATTTATATTTTATTTCATGCTCTGTCAATTTTGTTAAGTTGTATTTTTTAAAGGATTTGTCAGTTTCATTCAATTTATCATATTTTTGGCACAAAGTTGTTAATAATATTCTCTCATCTTTTAACGTCTGTATAATCTGTAGTGATAACATCTTTTTCATTTTTGATATTGGTGATTTGTGTTCTATCCTCTTTTTTATCAATAAGTCTAGCTGAGAATTTATCAATTTTGCTGATTTTTTTCGAATAGCCAGCTTTTGGCTTTGTTGATATATTTTCTATTGTTTGGTTTCTATTTCATTAATTTCTGCTTTTGTCTGTATTATTTGCCTTCTTATATTACTTCGGGTTTACTTTGCTCTCTTTTAGATTTTAAGTGGATTCTTAGGTAACTGATTAGGTAACTGACATTTCTTCTAATATAAAAAAATTAAAGCCACGAATTTATTAGTATGAACTGCTTTATTTGCATTTTACTAATTTTTATATGTGATGTTTTTATTTTTATTCATTTAAAAGTATGTTCTAATTTCCATTATGATTTAACTCTTTCACCCATTTATTACTTAGGAGTGTGATCAAGTTTACAAATATTTTTGGTTTTCCTAGCTATCTTGTTGCTTTTGATTTCTAATCTAATTCTCTTTTGGTCAGAGAACATACTCTGCATGATTTCAGTCTTTTAAAAATCTGTTTAGACTTGTTCTGTGGCCCAGCAACAGTCTATCTTGATGAACATATCACGTGCACTTGAAAAGAATGTATATTCTGTAATTGTTGGGTGTAATGATTTATAAATATAAATTATTGTTATCCAGATTTTCTGTGTCTTTATTTTTTTGTCTAGTTGTCCTATCAATTGCTCAGAGAGCAGTGTTAAAAATCACCTATCATCATTGTGTTTATCTCTTTGTGCCCATTTTTGCTTCATGTAATTTGAAGCCCTGTTATTAGGCACACACATTGATGATTATTATAATTTCCTGATTTATTGATCCTTTTATCTTCATAAAATATCGATTTGTTGCTGGTCATACTTTTTTTCTTGTAGTAGCTTTTGTGTGATATTAATGTGGCCATTCTAGTCTCATGTTTTCTGTTTTCATGGCATATTGCTTTTTGTTCATTTTACTTTTGTTTCTTTAAAGTATGCCCTTGTTGAAGCGTATTGTTGGATCTTGCTGTTTTACCCATTTTGATAATATCTGCTTTTTAACTGAAGTGCTTAGCCCATTCACATTAGTGTAATATTTGATATGTTTAGATTTGTGTCCTTCAATACATTATTTGCTTTCTATTTGTCCCCTCTGATTTTGTTCTTCTGTTTCCGCTTATCTGTTGTCTTTTGAATTATTTGGGTATTCCTCAGAATCTCTTTTAATTTTTAGATATAACTATTTTTAGATTTTTTTTAATTTGCATTTTTTAGTGGTTGCTGTAAGGATTACAGCATACATACTTAACTTTTCTCAGTCCACTTAATAGTGTACAACCTTCATAAAATATAGAAAAGTTACAACCATATAAGACTATTTAGCTCTTCCTGTGCCATTGCTTATGCTATAGTTTTCATTTGTATTAAATCTCATACAATACAAAACCCACAAGACACAGTTATAATTTTTGTTTAAGCAGTTATTATGTACTTTAGAGAATTAAGAAGGAAAAAAATAGTCATTTCTGTTTACCTAGTCATTTACCATTTCTAGTGCCATTAATTTGTTCCTAAAGAGCTGAGTTTATCCATAATGTCTTTTTGCTTCAACCTGAAAAACTTTACTTAGCAGTTTTTGTAATGCATATATGCTGCAGTGATTTATCTTAGTTTTCCTTTATCTGAAGATCTATTTATCTTCCATTTGAATGATATAGAATTCTGGGGGATTGACAGATTTTATTTTCTTCCACTTAAAAAAAATGTTATTCTACTGTCTTCTAATGCTCATAGTTTCTGATGAGAAGTGTGTAGTCATTTAAGTCATTATTCCCTGTGTGCGATATGATTGTTTTTGTTGCTCTTGCATGGCTGGGGGGACACTTATTTTAAGGTTTTCTACTTACCTTTGGTTTAGAAGTTTGACTATGATGTGCTTATTTATGCTTTTCTTTATTTTTATCCTGTTTATGGTTGGCTGAGTTTATCAAACATGTACATGTATATTGTTAACCAAATTTGACAAATTTTTGTTCCTTATATCCTTAAATTTTTTAATCCTAATTTCTCTCTATCCTTTCTGGACTCCAATTACATACATATGGTACTTTTTAAATATTGTCTGGTTTTACCATAGTAGGGTTAAAGTTTGGTCCTTTAAGACTATACATTTCTTTCATATTCTTGTATATTCTATATTGTTCAATAGGTCTCTGAGATTTATTTTATTTTTATTTTATTTCAGTTCTTTTTCTTTTCTTCAGATTGGATCATTTCTATTGATCTATTTTCAGATTCATTGACTTTTGCCTCTTTTAGCTCCATTTTTCCCAAGATCAGGCAGTGAGTTTTAATTTCAAATATTATATTTTTATTGCTAAAATTTCCATTGGCTTTCTTATATTTTCCTTTTTTTCTGATAAGATTTCCTTTATTTTCATTCCTTACCAATAAGTTTTCCTTTATCTTATTGAATATAGTTATAGTAGCTACTTTAAAGTCATTGTCCGCTAATTCCCACATCTGTGTCATCTCAGGTTTGGATTCTTGATGGTCTTTACCTTTAGGAATGCATCACATTTTTCTGGTATTCTATGTTAGGTAATTTTGGATTATATCTTGATATTATTAATGTGTTATTCTTGAGATTCATCATTCTGTTTGTGTTAGTCCATTATTGCACTGTTATAAAGAAACACCCAAGACTCGGTAATTTATAAAGAAAAGAGGTTTAATTGGCTCACAGTTCCACAGGCTGTAGGAAGCATGATGCCGGCCATCTGCTTGGCTTCTGGGGAGCCTTCAAGAATCATGGTGGAAGGCAAAAGGAAAGCGGCTCATCTTACATGGCCGGTGCAGGAGCAAGGGACGGGGGGAAGTGCTACGCACTTTTAAACAACCAGATTTCACGAGATCTCTCTCACTGTTATGAGAATAGCACCAAGGGGGAAACCTGCCCCATGATCTAATCACCTCCCACCAGGGCCTGCCTACAAAATTGGGGATTACAATGTGACATGAGCTTTGGGCGGGGACACAGATCCAAACCATGTCATTCTGCCACTGCCCTCACCCTCCGCGAAATCTCATGACGTTCTTACATTGCAAAATACAATTATCCCTTCCCAATGGTCCCTCAAAGTCTGAACTCATTCCAGCATTAAGCCAAAAGTCCAAAGTCCAAAGTCTCATCTGAGACAAGGCAACTCTCTTCTGCCTATGAGCCTGTAAAATAAAAAACAAGTTAGTTACTCCCAAGATACAGTGCGGGTACAGGCATTGGGTAAATACTCCTGTTCCAAAAGGGAAAAACCAGCCAAAAGAAAGAATTATAGGCCCCATGCAAGTCCGAAATCCAGTAGGGCAGTTATTAAATCTTAAAGCTCCAAATAATCTTCATTGACTCCATGTCTCACATCCAGGGCACACTCGTGTGAGGGATGGGCTCCCAAGGCCTTGGGAAGCTCCACTCCTGTGGCTTTGTGGGGTTCAGTTCCTGCAGCTGCTCTCATGGGTTGGTGTTGAATGCCTGCAGCTTTTCCAGGCACAGTGTGCAAGCTGCTTAGAACTGCTGGTGGATTCCCATTCTGGGGTCTTGAGGGTGGTGGCCCTCTTCTCACAGCCATTTCACTCCAGCCTGGGCAACAAGAGTGAAACTCCATCTCAAAAAAAAAAAAAAAAGAAAGAAAGAAATTTCCTCTGCCAGGTACCCTAAACTCATCATTCTCAAATTTAATGTTCCGCAGATTCCTACAGCACAGGCATAATACAGCCAGGCTCTTTGCTAAAGCATAAGGAAAGTGACATTTGCTCCAGTCCTCAGTAAGTTCCTCATCTCCATCTGAGACCTCCTCAGACTGGACTTCTTTGTCCATTTCACTATCAGCACTTCGGTCCCAATCATTCAAGTAGTCTCTAGGAAGTTCTAAGCTCTCCCTCATCTTCCCTCCACACTATTCCAACCTGTGCCTGGTTACCCAGTTCCAAAGTCACTTTCACATTTTCAGGATCTTTATAGCAATATCCCACTCTCAGTATCAATTTTCTGTACTAGTCTTTTCTCACACTGCTATAAAAACACCTGAGACTGGATAATTTAGAAAGAAAAGAGGTTTAACTGGCTCGCAGTTCTGCAGGCTGTACAGGAAGCATGATGCTGGCCATCTGCTTGTCTTCTGGGGAGGCCTCAGGAAACTTACAATCATGGTGGAAGGCAAAGGGGAATCAAGCTCATCTTACATGGCATGAGCAGGAGCAGGAGCAAGAGAGAGAGAAGGGGGAAGTGATACACACTTTTAAACAACAAGATCTCATGAGAACTCTCTCACTATTATGAGAACAACATTAAGGGGGAAATCCACCCCCATGATCCAATCACCTCTCACAGGCCCCATCTCCAACATTGGGGATTACAATTTGACATGAGATTTGGGCAGGGACACAGATCTAAACCGTATCACTGTTATATTTCTATGAAGGGTGTTGACATTTTTGTTTTAGTAGAGAATAAACTTGATTAGACTAAAAATGCAAAATCTTTCTTGCTTCTGCTTGGTAGCAGTTCAAACTTCAGTTTAGTTCTTTTAGCTTTAGCCTTTGCTCTTTATATGTGATTCAGGGACGGCAGAGATGTGGGAAGAATTTGATCATAGAATTTAGGGCTCACCTTCTTTTGTTCTGTGCACTCAAGGATTCTCTACCCCTCTCAGTTGTGGATTACAGTGCTGTTGCTCCTGGCTCCTCCCCTTTGTCCTTAAGCTGGAGAAACTAGGGATTATCTGTCAGAGTTTTAACTTCCTCATGCTGTGTCACAACCTTGATCAGCTATTAGGCCAAAGCAACAAAAACGGGAAACTCACTTCATGCTGATTCTTTTCTCCAAGTTTTAGTGCCCTCCTCTCCCAAAACTGCCTCCTTTTGTTTATTCCCCAGAGTCCTTAGATATTTGCTTTATGTATTTTGGCCAGGAGCTATAGTTGTTATCTCTGGAAGGGTCTGTTTATTATGAGCTTACTTTGATCTACTAGACTGAGCTTCAGACATTGTGTTTTGAAATTTTTGCTTAACATTACATTTATCCAAGAATTAAATTTAATATTTATTTATTTTTTTCTTCAACTTTTAAGTTCTGAGGTGCATGTGCTAGTTGTGCAGGTTTGTTACCCAGGTAAACATGTGCCATGGTGGTTTGCTGCACAGATCAACCCATCACCTAGGTATTAAGCCCAGCATCCATTAGGTATTCTTCCTGATGCTCTCCCTCCCATTGCTCCCCCAACAGGCCCCAGTGTGTGTTGTTCCCCTTCATATTTTCATGTGTACTCATCATTCAGCTCCCACACATAGTGGGACGATGTGGTATTTGGTTTTCTGTTCCTGCATTATTATGCTGAGGATAATGGCTTCCAGCTCCATCCATGTCCCTGCAAAGGACAAGATCTTGTTCCTTTTTATGGATGCATAGTATTCCATGGTGTATATGTACCACATTTTCTTTATCCAGTCTATCATTGATGGGCATTTGGGTTGATCCCATGTTTTTGCTATTGTGAATAGTGCTGCAATGAACATACACATGCAGGTATCTTTATAATAGGATGATTTATATTCCTTTGGGTACATACCCAGTAATGGGATTGCTGCGTCAAATGGTATTTCTGCCTCTAGATCTTTGAGGAATCGCCACACAGTCTCCCACAATGAGTGAACTAATTTACAACCCCACCAACAGGGTAAAGGTGTTCCTTTTTCTCCATCTGTTGTTTCTGGACTTGTTAATAATTGCCATTCTGACTGGTGTGAGAAGATATTTCATTGTGGTTTTGATTTGCATTTACCTAATGATCAGTGATGTTGAGGTTTTTTTCATATGTTTGTTGGCTGCATGACTGTCTTCTTTTCAGAAGTGTCTGTTCATGTTCTTTGCCCACTTTTTAATGGGCTTGTTTGGGTTTTTCTTGTAAATTTGTTTAAGTTCCTTGTAGACTCTGGATATTAGACTTTTGTCAGATGGATAGACTACAAAATTTTTCTCCCATTCTGTAGGTTGTCTTTTCACTCTGATGATAGTTTCTTTTGCTGTGCAGAAGCTCTTTAATTTAATTAGATCTCATTTGTCAATTTTTGCTTTTGTTGAAATTGCTTTAGGCACTTTTGTCATGAAATCTTTGCCTGTGCCTATGTCCTGAATGGTATTGCCTAGCTTTTCTTCTAGGGTTTTTATAGTTTCATACTTTTATGAATTACGTCTTTAATTAATCTTGAGTTAATTTTTGTATAAGATGTAAGGAAAGGGTCCAGTTTCAATTTTCTGCATATGGCTAGCCAATTCTCCCAGCACCATTTATTAAATAGGGAATCTTTTCCTCATTGCTTGTTTTTGTCAGGTTTGTTGAAGATCAGATGGTTGTAGGTGTGTGGTGTTATTTCTGAGTTCTCTATTCTGTTCCACTGGTCTACACGTCTGTTTTTGTACCAGTACCGTGCTGTTTTGGTTACTGTAGTTTTGTGGTGTATATGAAGTCAATCAAGTAGCATGATGCCTCCAGCTTTGTTCTTTTGCTTAGGATCGGCTTGGCTATAAAGGCTCTTTTTTGGTTCCATATTGATATGGTTTGGCTGTGTCCCCACCCAAATCTCACCTTGAATTGTAGTTCCCATAATCCCCACATGTTGTGAGAGGGACCCAGTGGGAGGTAATTGAATCATGGGGGCAATTATCCCATACAGTTCTCATGATAGTGAGTGAGTTCTCATTAGGTCTGATGGTTTTATAAGGGCTTTTTCCTTTTTGCTTGGCACCTCTCCTTCCTGCCACCATGTGAAGAAAGACGTGTTTGCTTTCCCTTCCACCATGATTCTAAGTTTCTTGAGGCCTCCCCAGCCATACTGAACTGTGAGTCAATTAAACCTCTTTCTTTTATAAATTACCCAGTCTCAGGCAGTTCTTTATAGCAGTGTGAGAACAAATTAATACACATATGAATTTTAACATAGTTTTTTCGAAATCTGTGATGAATGTCAATGGAAGTTTAATAGGAATACCATTGAATCTATAAATTACTTTGAGCATTATTGCCATAACACTGATTCTGTCTATCCATGAGCATGGAATGTTTTTCTATTTGTTTGTGTCCACTGTGATTTCCTTGAGCAGTGGTTTGTCATTCTCCTTGAAGAGGTCCTTCACTTCCCTTTTTAGCTGTATTCCTAGGTGTTTTATTCTCTTTGTAGCAATTGTGAATGGGAGTTCATTCATAATATGGCTGTCTACTTGCTTGTTGTTTGTGCATAGGAATGCTAGCAATTTTTGCACATTGATTTTGTATCCTGAGACTTTGCTGAAGTTGCTTATCAGCTTAAGAAGCTTTTGGGCTGAGACAATGGGGTTTTCCAGATATAGGATCATGTCATCTGCAAACAAAGATAATTTGATTTCCTCTCTTCCTATTTGAATACCCTTTATTTCTTTCTCTTTCCTAATTGCCATAGCCAGAACTTCCAATACTATGCTGAATAGGAGTGGTGAAAGAGGGCATCCTTGTCTTGTGCTGGTTTTCAAGGGGAATGCTTCCAGGTTTTGCCCATTCAGTGTGGTATTGGCTGTGGGTTTATCATATATATGGCTCTTATTATTTTGAGATATGTTCCTTCAATACCTAGTTTATTGAGCATTTTTAACATGAAGGGATGTTGAATTTTATCGAAGGCCTTTTCTGAATCCATTGAGATAATCATGTGGGTTTTGTCTTTAGTTCTGCTTATGTGATGAATTACATTTATTGATTTGCATATGTTGAACCAGTCTTGCATCCCAGGGATGAAGCCTACTTGATCATGGTGAATAAGCTTTTTGATGTGCTGCTGGATTTGGTTTGCCAGTATCTTATTGAGGATTTTTGCATTGATGCTTATCAGGGATATCAGCTGGAAGTTTTCCTTTTTGTTGCATCTCTGCCAGGTTTTGGTATCAGGATGATGCTGGCCTTAAAGGAGTTAGGGAGGAGTACCTCCTTTTCCATTGTTTGGAATAGCTTCAGAAGAATTGGTACCAGCTCCTCTTTGTACCTCTGATAGAATTCAGCTGTAAATCTGTCTGGTCCTGGGCTTTGTTTGCTTGGTGGGCTATTTATTATTGCTTCAATTTGTAATTTAATATTTTTAAATCTTGGGTTAAATGGTTGAATGAATGTGTGAAAAGTTAGATATCAATGAATGAATATTCTTAAATGTATAAACTTTAATCTTGCTGGATATAGGATAAAATTTACATTAAAACACTGTAATTAATCAGTCAATTTAAGTAAAATAAATTCAA
The DNA here is from genome assembly GCF_000001405.40 of Homo sapiens. NCBI lineage: Eukaryota > Metazoa > Chordata > Mammalia > Primates > Hominidae > Homo > Homo sapiens. The sequence goes on from NW_025791778.1 coordinate 192,167, forward strand.
GGAAGTGGTCTGAATTTCTCAGTGAGCATTTAGATATTTATGGGAGTCATATAAAATAAATTATAAATGTGACTGAGGGCTTTTTATTAAGGAAAATGAAATATTGCTATGGACATGATTCTGTGTGTTTCTTTACTACACTATGAACTAAAAATTTTGGAGACAAATCTAAGTATATAAATTGGTTTATTGATGACCGATTGGGAATATAAATAGGCACAAAAATTTGGCGAAGCATTTTGGCATGTCTACCTAAAATTTAAATATGTAAGCACTAGTCCCCCCTTACCTGCAGTTTCACTCTGAGCAGTTTCAGAAAATAGGTGAGCACAGTACAGTAAGATATTTTGAGAGAGAGACCACATTCATAAAACTTTTATTATAGTGTATTGTTATAATTGTCCTAATTTATTATTATTGTTGTTAATCTTTTACTGTGCCTAATTTATAAATCACACTTTATCATAGGTATGTATGTATAGGAAAAAACATAGTATATGTAGAATTCAGTATTATCCTTGGTTTCAGACATTCAGTGGGGATCTTAGAAAGTATTCTCTGTGGAAAAGGAGGGACTACTGTACTTTTAACAAAGCACTTCCCAGAATAAACACACAGACATATACATGCACACACTTTCAGAAATGCACTTAAATATTCAATCATGGAGTAAAAATTAATTATGAAATATCTAGACAATGAACATTATGTAGTTTTTATTAAGAAAGAAGCAGAATTATATATACTGACATGAAAGGATGTTCATTATATATGTTAAGTAAAAACTAAGTTCATCATATATGTTAAGTAAAAAAAAGTCACAAATTAAGAGAAAGTGTTAATTGATTTGAGAGTTTGTGTATTTTTTTTCCTATTTTGTGCTGAAAAGCTGAAGTTGGCATCAACCAAGGCATATTGTTATCTATGTATCAAGCTAAATAATTTAAAGATCTTTAAGACTATTAATTCAGAGATGCTGTATAAATAGAATCAGTGCCAGATTTTTTGTTTCAATTCTATCAGCCAAGTATACTATGCTTTCTTTGCTTGTGATAGAAAAAAGAGAGAAAAAACACAGAAGCAAAAAGTAAAGTTGTACAATAGTGTGTAGAGTGTGGTTCCATTTTGTAAAATGTATCAGTGTGTATATTTATATAGCATAGTCAAAAGCCTGGAGTGATATAAATTTTCTGTTACTGGTCTAGTATACAAGGGAATTAGATTTTAAAGGACTTTCATTGTTTTTAACAATTCTGAACAAATTTAATTTGGTACAAGAAGTATATATTTTAAATATTATTGAACTTAATTAAAATAAATTAGAGCTCAAAAAATAAATAAATCACAGGAAGTTCACAGTCTGACTTTATCAGGAATGTTGCTATTTTCTTAACAGGTCATCAAACATTATCACTGATGCTTGGAAAGAAGCACTTTTTATAATTTAAAAATACCTTTTATTCTTCAACTTCTGCTGGCTTAAAGAGCACTAAGTCCACATATCCTAGGAGGCATGGCTGTCCAATATATACTATGTGTACATTGATTTATGAACCAATAAATGTTTCATACACAGTTGAGATTTTAAATGAGCTTATGATAATTGGATCAAAGGAATACTAGTCCAGCTTGAGAGTACTGCAGAAAACCAATCACAGAAAGCTATGATGAAATTTTAATTATAAAGGATATTGAATATCCTAGAGTGACAACTCTGTTATAATAAATGTAACACTGAATGGGAAAGAGAGAAAGGAGATTTTTACCCATTTCTGTTTGAAATCAACTTTCTATTTCTAGTAAATTATCACACCATTCTGTTTTAATTTTTATATCTTAAAGTTATCATTCCAGTGTCTTTGGTTTACTGGGTTTATAAAAGAATTGACCAGTAGCTATATAATAGATACAGAAAAGTCTGCCTGGGTGTGGTGGCTCATACTTGTAATAATATTATATTATTATAATTGTTCTATTTTATTATTAGTTATTGTTGCTAATCTTTTACTGTACCTAATTTATACATTAAGCTTTATCATGGGTATGTATGTATAGGAAAAAATGCAGTATATATAGAATTCAGTATTATCCTTGGTTTCGGACATTCAGCAGGGGTCCGAAGGTGGGCGAGGTGAGCCCACTTTGGGAGGCCAAAGTGGGCAGATTGCTTGACCCCAGGAGTTCAGGACCAGTCTGGGCAACATGGTGAAATGCTGTCCTTACAAAAAATACAAAAATTATCTGGGCATGATAGTGCATGACTGTAGTCCCAGCTACCCAGGAGCCTGAGGTGGGAGCATCACTGAGCCCGGTGGTTGAAGCTGCAATAAGTTTTGATTATGCTACTGCACTCCAGCGGGACAACTGAGTGAGACCCTGTCTCAAAAAAAAAAGTCACAAATTAAGATAAAGTGTTGATTGATCTGAGAATTTGTGTATTTTTTTCTATTTTGTGCTGAAAAGCTGAAGTTGGCATCAATCAAGGCATATTGTTATATATGGATCAAACTAAAAAATTTTAAGATCTTTAAGACCATTAATTCAGAGATGCTGTATAAATAGAATCAGTACTAGATTTTTTGTTTCAATTCTATCAGCCAAGTATAACATGCTTTTCTTGCTTGTGATAGAAAAAAAGAGAGAAAAAACACAGAAGCAAAATTGAAGAATTTGTAAATCATTTCTAAATAATTTCAATAAAATGAGCTTTGAAAGGGAAAATTTTTAGATAACATTATCTCATCAAAATGCCTTAAAGTATATTTTAATATTCAGTAAGAACAGTGTATATTAACATGGCTAATTTAGAGGATTTATATTTTACCCACATGATAATGTATTATGCCTGTAACTGCTAAAGGAATTATGTAGCAAAATCTGTCAAGGAATACACGAGTGGGATTTATATCAGAAAAATCAAAGCCATTTGTAAAGCCCCATTACTTAGGCAGAATATCATAGGTAGGAGGTAGATGTTACTGAAAGAAGAAGTTGGGATATGAAATACAAATCTATTTTGCATCATGATTTTGTTAAGTCCGGCTGTTTATTATTAAAAACATGTACAGAAGATTCAATTGAAGTTTCTAAAAGAGAAAGAAACTTGTAGTTGTGGGAACAATAGTATTCCTTATGAAATACTTAGATATTAATAGCTTGAGACTGATAATACAATTCTTAAGTTAGGGGTTGCATGTGTAGTGGTCAGATGTTATTTCAGGATCTCAAGAAACAGAGCCATGGTAAAAAGAAGCTTCCTGGAGCTTCTGATAAATTCCGTCACCTTTTTGGGACCCAGTTTCTTCATCAATACCAACCTCATTAGGGTCCTGTGAGAAGTACATGAGGTGAGATATGTACTGAAATAATATGCCAACTCTTAAGTGCCAAGACATTAGGATGCAAGGGGGGGTGCCCAAAAAGTCAACAATTACTTGATACTCTAGATATATGTATGGATAATTTTGAGAAGTAATCCTTCTTACACAGAGGTGTAGGTTTGTTTGTTCCAAGCAGCAAACATAATGGGTATAGGAAAGAGAAACTGTGGCCTTCATATAGACTGAGCTTAGGAAAACAGTTGGAAAACAGTTCAAATTCAAGGTACTTCAACAATATCTAGTGTGTTTTTGAAATATATTTTTAAAACCCCTATCCAAATCAATGAATGCTTTGGCTAAAACCTACTTGGGAATGAGGGTGTTCTTTAGTGCCAAATACTCATCTTATTTTAGTCCATGATTTTAGTCCATGGCTAAAATCCCAAGAGTTACAGAGGAGAAATAGGGCCAAACAAGGTTTCTATTAAAATAAGAGGTCCCAAGTGATGAATGGAAACTTGGAACAGGTTTAATGGCAACTATAAGCCAGAAATTAGCTGAAATACACACTAATGAATTTGGGGCATATCTTGAGTTTCAGATAGAAAATTGGTACTAAGTTTAGTGAATTAGAAACATAGCTTAACCTAGGCAGTTGCAATTCTTGTTCCAAAAATGCTCAATTTGCTGCTGGACTGCATGGACACTTGCTACCTCCTTGTTTTGAGTCATTAACAAAATGTTGAATGGGATATCTGGAGTATCAAGTAATTGTTGACTTTTTGGTCACCCAACCCCCTTGCATCTTAATGTCTTGGCACTTAAGAGTTGGCATATTATTTCAGTACATATCTAACCTTATGTACTCCTCACAGGACCCTAGTGAGGTTGGTATTGATGAAGAAACTGGGTCCCAAAAAGGTGATGGAATTTATCCGAAGCTCCAGGAAGCTTCTTTTTACCATGGCTCTGTTTCTTGAGGTTAAAGAACATGATTTACCAGGCTCTGTTTCTTGAGAGACCAAGAGTGGATCCCTGTAGTCCCCATTAGAATTCTCCTTCTAGTTTGAACTATTCCATTAGTAAACACTTTTTGGCATGTTATTTAAACAATTACAAAATCACCTAACTACACTGTCTTGCAGCTGCCTTTCTTTTTTTGTCTTGTCCACGTGAGTATATTGGGAGACTTTGTTTAATGTCTCCACAAATTCTAGATAGACTGTTCCTGCAGCATTTCTTTTTTTAAATTTTGTTTTGATAAGCATTTATTTTGGCAATGATTCTAGTAAATGAAACTAAAGTGCCCATATGAAAAACAATCTTAAGTCTATGTGGTTAGTTTGAAGTTACCAGTTTTTAATTAAGCCGGAGTAGTCCTTAGTATGAATGCCTTCATTTCTAAGTGCTCATAAACAATCACTTTAGTAATATTACAGTTTTGAAGGAATTTATATCAAGCTTAATGGCACTTTTTAAAAGATAGGAAATTGGGTTCTCTAGTCACATCTGTAAGTTATTTCAGTGCCTTGGAAGATCATTTATCTGGCCACAGATAATTGACTTACTTACATCAGTTTTTTTTTTTTTTGAGATGGAGTCTCGCTCTGTTGCCCAGGCTGGAGTGCAGTGGCATGATCTCGGCTCACTGCAACCTCCGCCTCCTGGGTTCACGCCATTGTCCTGCCTCAGCTTCCCGAGTAGCTGGGACTACAGGCACCCACCACCATGCCTGGCTAATTTTTTTGTATTTTTTAGTAGAGACGGGGTTTCACCATGTTAGCCAGGATGGTCTCGATCTCCTAACCTTGGCCTCGGCCTCCCAAAGTGCTGGGATTACAGGCGTGAGCCACCACACCCGGCCACTTATATCACTTTTATGCTTCCTATCTCCTTATTGATCTTGAGGTTCAAGTTTCACTTAACCATTTTCTTCAATGAAAAATAATTTTATAATTTAAAAAACCTCAACCTTTAATATTCTATGATTCTTGTTAGGCCATCTCAATTGAGAATACTGATAAAGAAGTAAAACTCCCCCCAATACTGGCTAGTTTGATTTTATCTGTTAATATTACGCAATCTGCCCCAAACCTGTCTCTCCCTTTTTATTGTTACTTATCCAAAGATGGCTTGAATCTCTTATGGCTTGAATCTCTTTGTTTATTCTAAGCAATTTTCAGACACCTCAGCCAACTATCAATAATATATTAGTTTTTTAGAACTAAAAATGTAGAGGATCTCCCCCTAAAAGCCAATTGTTAATGCCAAATATTTGACTGATATATTTCTTCTGGAGGAAGGGAGATGTGAAAAAATTTAGCCATCAAGTTATGTGAAAACTTTTTCATCTTCCCATCCACTGGATGTTTTATCTGTAAATAATGCTATAATCATATTGGAAAGTATTTTCCTTCTGGGGATGCATGAAGATCAGGAATCCTATTCGTTTTTAACAAGATGGAATTTTTAAAAACTACTTTGGACAACTCTAAACATCAGAGATGACCATTTGTCTCTTTTTTATTATATAACTTGTGCTCGGTTTGTAGAGCAACATAAATACATGAATTAAAAAATGAAAACTAGCTCCTTCCCTATTTGACAGATACTTCTCAACCTCCTCTCCATAAGATATGCTCTATCCCTATATAGGAAATTTTTCTGTAGCAGCTTGAGTTTACTAAAAATAAGATCTGAAGAAAATGAAGCAATTAACATTTATTGAGAGTCTATAAGGGTTTCTACATTGTGAAGGAGACAGAAATATAAGACATGGCTCCTGCTTTCAGGTTGCTTATAATTAAAGAGATAATATTAAATTATTTGGATGAATTTAAAAATGACACATGCCATCTTACAGATATGCTGTAGACTGTGAAAATGAAAAAAAAAACCTCGTGTTTAGAGTAGACACTGTTTGATGGATTAGGTAGGTTTTCATCTGGACTTTGAAATGTATGTAAGATTTTATAAGGAGGAGAGAAAATAAGAAGCTGTTTGTATTAGAATTACACAGATAAATTTGTAAATTTAGTTCTTTTCAAAGAACATTAATTGAGCACCTCTGTGCCAAGCTCCCTACTGGATGCTGTAGATTACAGCATGTTTAGGAACTAACTTCATACTCTGTTGCTAAAGTATTTCTGTGTTTTCTAAAAAGGTAAATCTCTTGTGAGGAAACAAATCTCTTGAAGGGGTTCTCATAACAGAAGTCCCATTTACTTCATGATATAAAAAGGGGCTGTTTTCTGGTTTTGTTCTCAAAATGTAGGATATAGTTCTAGACGTAATTGGGAAAGCTTAACTTTGTTGCATACGCATCTTCCCTATCATGGTTGATTTCCTATATGGCATAGTTAAATGTGTTTATCCGTGTTTGATATCTAAAGGGCCATGCTACATATAGACTGCCAACTAAGGTTTTATCTGATGATAATAAATTGTTGTATTTCATGACGACAGCAACAACAACAATAATGTACTTAACTAGTCACTGTGCAAATTGCTTTACATACATTTTCTCATGTAATCATAATAATAACCGTATGAGTTTTGCTTACTATTGTTTTCCTTAATTAAAATGAGTAAAGTGAAGCTTAGGCTAAGTAACATGTCCATAGCCAAACAGTTAGTCACTGGCAGGAGTGTGACTGACTCCAAAGTCTATATTCCTAATTACTGTGTTCTACTTTTTAATAGAGAGCTCTTGAAGGTCCAAGGAAAGGAATGCATAATGGTGTGGTCAAGGCATTAGTGTTAATATTTGTAGAAAGGGTAATTAACAACAGTCTGAGCAATCACATTCTAACAACTAGTAAGGTTGGCAGGAGCCTCAGTATAATGGTGTGAGGAACGAAATCATTATAGTGCCAAATAGAGTATACCATCTCTTTAGTACAATGTCTTTCAAAATGAGGCTGATTGTGTTGGCTTTATATTTGACTCCTTAATAATTAAGGCAGTAAATTCTAGCTGGAGCTAAATACCTACAAGGCCTAAAACAGCATAATGGACAACCTGGCAGGTGTCCTTGCTGGAAGATGACAAGAGTGCTGAAAGGAGAGTCCTGGTTTTTCTCCCAAGACATGACATTTGGGGGCTTCCATTAAAAAATTACCAAGCCTCTGCCACTGTAATCTCTTCCTTAAGTGCCTATGATTTTTTCACAGTCACAGGTCTATGCCTGGTCAATACCCAGTGGCCAGGTCTCTGAGCTGCGTGCAGAGATGGCAGCGACTTGGAGGGCTGGGAGGAGATAAGGGGAGGAAAGATCACTTTTCATGACAACTTACAACTTGATTCCACTTATAAGCCATTTATTTTCAGAAACAAGTAATGGGTGAGGACACAGGCCAGGTCCACAATTTGTGCACTTGAGAGATTAAGGCCTCCGAGATCAAATTACCACAGCAAACTGAGACAGAATTATTGTAGGGATGTTTGGGGAGGATGCAGAGAGAAGAGGAAGAAGCCAGAGACCCAAGAAAGGAGACAGGAATAGATTTTGATGAAAATTGCTTCCTACTCTGTACCCTTGAGGAAACAAAGAGGACAAATAAGAAGCAGCAGTGATAGGAGGCTGGGCGCTTCTCTGGAATAACACTGGCTAGGTAGTGGAGCATTGATAGTGAGTGTGCTTGGTTGGTGGAACGAAGGGATGTGCTAGTTCAGGCCTTTGAATTCTGGGTGTCAGGATCACAACCTTGGCTCCTTTAACTGTCCGCTCTAGGAGGGAAGCATGCCAAATGTCAGGTCTCACTCTGACTTTGTTCCAGTCCATAGCTAGAAAATGACCCATAGAGGAAGATCTACAGATGACAGAATACTGGGAGATGAAGAGAAAGGACGTTTTAGTGAGTGCTTTTTTTGCACATGAGGCAATAGATTTCAAATTCCTGTGGAAGAAATGTGAGAACCTGGGAAGAGTGAATATTCAGAACTGAGCAGCAGAGGCAATGACACAGCATGGAAAGATTTCCTCTGATCCTTCTACCTTCTCTTTTACTGAAGTGAATTTGTTGTCTCTGTGTTGCCTCTATAGCAGTACAAGAGGAAACTTGGGGACACAGAAGAACAGAAGTCTAAGGAGTCTTATATTTAAGGAAGATAAGCTGCAGTCATTGAAATTGCTGGTTATTGTAAGATAAATCCCAGACTCCCACATTTTGCTTAATGACAGCAGATTTTTTTTTTTTTTTAACTGCAAAGCATTAATGGAATCCAAATTCCAGCCTGGCTTAGGAGATCAACAGTAACGCTCTTGATTTAATGGTTTTGCAGACTCTTGAAGACATTGTCATCCATTAAAGAAAAAATTTTAAATTACTCTTGAAAGAAAATGTCTTGGGTGATAAATGTAAAAGATTTGAAGCAAGATTAGAAAAAGCTTGAGAGAAGAATCTCTTTAAAAATTTTACCAGATTTTCCCCATTGTCGCCAAAATGGGTCAAATAATAGATTTGCCTACAGCTTCATGGAGACTATTTTTTTAAACAGAGCATTTTAAACATTTAAATATTGGTTATTTGCCAAGGCACACACTGAAAATAAGGGCCACTTGGCCGAGAGCAGAATTGAGTCTTGGATCCCAGGATGCTGGTTTTAGGCTTGCTCCCGGAAAGAGGGCAGCATTTGCCATCCCCCTCCTTTTGCCCTAGGAGTTGAGCACTTTCTGCAGTACTTAAGAGTGTCCAGGGAAGATGTGGGAGTCAGGTGAATAGTTCCCATCGCCAGTAACCCCAGAGCGCCTCCCCCTGCGTTGTTTCCTTTTAATGTTAGATCCGCCGCCTGGGTGCCCATACTTAGCTAAGGCCCCTCAGTTTATTTTCCTGAATTGCGCTTGGAGATCTTTTCCTGGGGAGCTGATAGCCAGACTTCTAGGGGCTTGACTGCTTTTCCCAGACTAATCTCCTTAAAGACCCGTTAAGCAGGGGAGAGACGGTGGAGACTGGATGAACTGGACAGTGGGGGTAGGGAGAAAGGGAGTGGCCGTGTTCCTGCGGTCCGCTGGGATCCGGCAGGTCCAGGGTGAAGGAGATGGGGCTGGAGAGGCTGAGCAGTCCGGGTTCGCTGTCCGCCACTTCGGCGCGGAATCAGAGCAGGACTTGCTGAGCCCTCCTACCGCTCCCTTTCCCCCTCCCCCTCTGTCTTCCCTTCTGTTTCCTTTTCCCTCCCCCTGGAGCTGTAGCGGCAGCAGCAGCAGGAAGCCGAGCCGGGTTGAGCGACTCGGAGGCGAGCGGAGGAGCTGGAATATGGGGAGTCAGCGAGGACGGTGGGGCCAGGAGCCCTTGGGAGGGCCTACGGAGGGAGCGGCCCCAGGCGCTTTCTAGAGCGTGAGCGGTGGGGGAGCAGGCGCAGGGTGGCACGAGCGGAGGCGGGGCCCGGGCGTGGGGCACGGCTGGGGAAGCTGCCGCCTCCGGCCCTGCCCGGCTGCCTCCGCCGCGGCCAGTGGCTATGGAGCAGGCGGGCACCAGACCTGCGGCGACAGAGCATCCACGGCTCCGGCGGCCCATGCCCTGGCTGCTGCTACTGCCTCTCCTGCTGCTGTTGCTGCTGCTGCTACCTGGCCCTGCGGCCTCCCAGCTGCGATACTCTGTGCCAGAGGAGCAGGCACCCGGCGCGCTCGTGGGCAACGTGGCTCGCGCGCTGGGGCTTGAGCTGCGGCGCTTGGGGCCGGGTTGCTTGCGCATCAACCATCTGGGTGCGCCCAGTCCGCGCTACCTGGAGCTGGACCTGACGAGTGGAGCGCTCTTCGTCAACGAGCGCATTGATCGGGAGGCGCTGTGTGAGCAGCGGCCTCGCTGCCTGCTCAGCTTGGAAGTGCTGGCGCACAACCCCGTGGCGGTGAGCGCCGTTGAGGTGGAAATATTGGACATCAACGACAACTCACCGCGTTTCCCGCGGCCCAACTACCAGCTTCAGGTAAGCGAATCGGTGGCGCCTGGAGCGCGCTTTCACATAGAGAGTGCGCAGGACCCCGACGTGGGCGCCAACTCAGTACAGACCTACGAGCTCAGCCCCAGCGAGCACTTCGAGCTGGACCTTAAGCCCCTGCAGGAGAACAGTAAAGTGCTTGAGCTGGTGCTGCGTAAGGGCCTAGACCGGGAGCAGGCAGCCTTGCACCACCTGGTTCTCACAGCCGTGGATGGGGGCATCCCAGCCCGCTCGGGTACGGCACAGATCTCTGTGCGTGTCCTGGACACTAACGACAACTCTCCTGCCTTTGACCAGTCCACTTATCGCGTCCAGCTACGGGAGGACTCACCCCCAGGCACATTGGTGGTGAAGCTGAATGCCTCAGACCCGGATGAGGGCTCCAATGGTGAGCTCAGGTACTCCTTGAGCAGCTACACGTCGGACCGGGAGAGGCAGCTCTTCAGCATAGATGCCAGTACCGGGGAAGTGCGAGTAATTGGGGGGCTGGATTATGAGGAAGCCTCCTCCTACCAGATCTATGTGCAGGCGACTGACCGGGGTCCAGTGCCCATGGCAGGTCACTGCAAGGTGCTGGTGGACATCGTGGACGTGAATGACAATGCCCCAGAGGTGGTGCTCACGGACCTGTATAGCCCAGTGCCTGAGAATGCTACACCCAACACCATTGTGGCCGTTCTCAGTGTCAATGACCAAGACTCAGGCCCCAACCGGAAAGTGAGCCTGGGTCTGGAGGCCACACTGCCTTTCCGACTGAATGGCTTTGGAAACTCCTATACACTGGTGGTGAGCGGCCCACTGGACCGAGAGCGGGTGGCTGTCTACAACATCACGGTGACAGCCACAGATGGGGGAATACCGCAGCTCACATCCCTGCGTACACTGAAGGTTGAGATCTCTGACATCAATGACAATCCACCAAGCTTCCTGGAGGACTCCTATTCCATCTACATACAGGAGAACAATTTGCCAGGTGTGTTGCTCTGTACTGTGCAAGCCACAGACCCAGATGAAAAGGAGAATGCAGAGGTGACCTACTCCCTTCTGGAGAGGGAGATTCAAGGGCTGCCAGTCACCTCCTATGTCTCCATTAACAGTGCCAGTGGCAGCCTTTATGCTGTCAACTCCTTTGACTATGAGAAGTTTCGGGAGTTCTTTGTGACTGTGGAGGCTCAGGACAAGGGGAGCCCACCACTGAGCAGCACTGTGACTGCCAACGTATATGTGGTGGACATGAATGACCATGCCCCTCACATTCTGTACCCTACCTCAACCAACTCGTCAGCAGCCTTCGAGATGGTGCCTCGAACTGCCCCTGCTGGCTACCTGGTCACCAAAGTCATAGCTATGGACTCAGACTCTGGGCAAAATGCTTGGCTTTTTTACCATCTAGCCCAGACTTCTGACCTGGACCTCTTTAAGGTAGAGCTGCACACAGGAGAAATTAGGACTACCAGGAAGATGGGAGATGAGAGTGGTAGCACTTTCAACCTGACCGTGGTGGTCCGAGATAATGGAGAGCCATCACTATCAGCCTCTGTGGCCATTACAGTAGCTGTGGTGGATAGGGTTTCCAAAATCCTCCCTGACACTCAGAGGCATGTTAAGAGCCCTCGGACATACTCTGAAATTACCCTTTATCTAATAATAGCATTAAGCACAGTGTCTTTTATATTTCTTTTGACAATCATCATTTTGAGCATCATCAAGTGCTACCGCTACACTGCGTATGGCACTGCATGCTGTGGAGGCTTCTGTGGAGTAAGGGAAAGGTCCCCTGCAGAACTGTACAAACAAGCCAACAACAATATTGATGCCAGGATACCGCATGGCCTCAAAGTGCAGCCTCACTTCATTGAAGTTCGAGGGAATGGCTCCCTCACCAAGACCTACTGCTACAAGGCCTGTCTGACAGCAGGCTCAGGGAGTGACACTTTCATGTTTTACAATACAGGGGCCCAGACAGGACCAGGGCCTTCGGGAGCCCAAGCAGCAGTGACTGACAGCAGGAATCTCACAGGCCAAAGTGGTCAGAATGCTGGGAACCTGATTATTCTCAAAAATGAGGCTGTTTCTCAAAATGAGGTGAGACAGTGGTCAGGGGGTCTTCTACAAACTCATGCATTTGTTACACATCCCCCAATATCCTGTGATTTGGCTTTATTGAGTCATTAACAGTGACAAGAGTTATCTGGTAAACTGAGTATATATAGTATCCACAATTTGATCATAATCTGCTATTTCCTCTCTAGAAAAATAGCACTAAAGAATTGTTTTATTTTTCATTTTCAGAGGCATGAAGCCTTGTCCATAAAATTGTTTGAGAAGTGAGGATTAGTCTTAATATTTAATGCTAAAACACAGATTTGTAGAGAAACAGGACAGGCCTTGGAATAGGGATTATGTTTTAGGGAGTAATGTTATGAGACTCAAGGAGAAATGGCCTCTGCTGTATCATCTACAGGGAAATTTTTCTTTTGAAATCCTATATGAGTGATGTTTCTTAAAAAGCTCTGAGGCCTCTAGGGGCTATCATAGTCACCACTATCTGCTGTCTCTGTTTATACTCTGGACTGTCTACAGTGGAAATTATCTAGTTAATATTTCTGGTACTTGCACTGAACCTATGTGATAGGATCCTCTGGAAATGCATGTCACAAGTGATAAAGCTGTAGTATTTAGACATCATACTGAAGCTAAAGTTTGCTTTGGCTGTATGATGTGGCAACTCTTCTGTAGAGGGCTGTCAGAGGGAGTGGATGATGGTGAGGCAGAGAGATTAAGTACCAATTTGTCTGGTTGGTCCAGGGAGGTATTAGAATGAGTGGATTAGGGGTGTGGGGGGATGGTGAAGACCAAGAGAAGCTGGGATTAGAAGGAAGAGAAGGGAAAAAGAATTCTCCCAATAGTCACCTTTCTTGGCATACTCTGAATTCATTGTAAGAGGATTTCCCTGAATTTAGCTTAAATGCAGCCTGTAATCTTCTGATTTTCTGTTGACAGTTTCTATGGTTTTGATGAGATGTAAAGTAGCCTTTTCAAGTCCTTCATGTCTTTAAGTTAAATGACAGTACTTCCAAAGCATGCATTCATTTTCTGGATCTAAAATTTGATTTGCTATAGCTTCAAAAGGCTGGCTTGGAAAGTGGATGGCTTACCCTACAGTAAGGTGTAGAGGCAGGTGTTAGTATATGCACTAGTTTTGAGATTTAAGTAGGTATAAGGCCAGCTTGTTCATTATTATGAAGAATGTACATAAATTATTAGAAAGTAGATGAATATGTGTGTGTGTTTGTGTTGTGTGTTCGTCTCCATATGTATGCTTGAAATAACAGAGATATGCTTTGTGATACTTAAAACTTGGATTTCAAAAGCCAAAATTTTGTACCATAAATAGTGATGAATTGTTATCTTTCCAAATAACTACTTTGTAGAAAGGGCTTTTAGAGCTACTACACAATGTGTGAACAATATTTGTCTCTCCTCTATTTTTTGCAATATATTTTCATTGACATATTGCTGTACATACATATTGTATGTAATATCCATATTGTTACATTTCAAGTTCATGGTAATCTTGAGGAATGTAATGCACAGGCACAAAAGTTCCATTCCTGATTGAGAGTAGATTTTTCTCATGGACATTTCAGATAGATTTATTCATTTATCAGAAGTGCCTGGTGTTAGTCAATGCTGAGAAACCATGGGAGGCAGATTGTAGATTAAGAAAAATGGGGGAATAAATCAAAGAGTTTCCAGAAGTCTTTAGATCGTAGCATTTGAAAGCACGTAAAAGGGTTTAGCTTTAAATAAGGTTGCTGTAGACATTTGCTTAACAAATTCTTGTGAAGCCCTTTGGGATTGGGGTGGGCTACAGGTGGTGAAGAGGCATGAACAAGTCAGGCCAGGCTCAGCTTTGCCACCAGCTGTAAGCCGGAAGCTCAGAGGAAAGACACTGTTACCCTCCCTCTCCTGACTCAAAGCTTGGGGCAATTTGATACATAAACTATTTCTGTCTTACACTGACCTGTATATTAATATGTACTTTGGTACACAAACATTTAATCTAGGGAGAAAATTATTTCAGAAAGTGCTTGCTTTTGGGAGATTTTGCCAGGAGAGTGCATGACTTTAATAAAGGCAAATTTCTGCCAGGCACTTTTGGAAATCCAGTGAAGAACCCCAAGATCTACAGCTCCAGAAATTTTTGCAGTTATAGGGAGAGAGTGTCACATTGTTACAGTGTGGCAAGATAGGAGCAAAAGCCACTCAGTTCTGAAAGTCATCATTGCCAGATCAACCTGTTAAATTCCCATGTTGGGCTTTCTTTTTTTCCTACCTAGTTACTACAGATGGCAGGAGAGTCCTGGGGTACAATTAGTACCATGTGCCTACATTAAAAGTAGATGGGAATTAGAGAGGAAGAGTAAGGGAATTTGTACTCACTAACCACCCTGCTATATAGATATATGTATATCATACATATACACATACATATATCTCATATTACTGAATCTTGAATATTATTCAAGATTATTCAATATATTGAATATTATAATATTGAATACATATATGATTTCATTACCTGCAAGTCATGCGTTAAATATTTGTTAACATCTAGCATATGAGGAAATAAGCTCAGGGAGGTTAGGTAATCTACACAGCCACACTGCTAGTGTTATTTTAAGTTGTATCCATCTGACTCCAAAAACTTTTTTTCAATACTATGAGTAGACAGAAGTTCCAATGTTTATATTCCCTTTTATATGGGATATTCAGGCATTTAAGCTATCACTAATTCACCTAGTCGTATATATTAACTGCTTTTGGAAAAAGAGTAATTTCTGGCATAGAAGCAGGTAACAAATGGGAATATCAGTGAGTTACTACTATTTTTTTATTTTTATTTTTTTGAGACAGAGTCTTGGCCTGTCACCCAGGCTGGAGTATAGGTGTGAATATGGCTCACTGCAGCCTCGACCTTCTGGGCTCAAGCAATCCTCACACATCAGCCTCCTGAGTAGCTTGGACCATAGATGTGCGCCACCGTGTCTGACTAGTTTTTAGGTGTTTTTTTTTTTTGGAAGAGATGGGGGTCTCACTATGTTGCACATGCTGTTAGTATATTTGTATTTGTTTATTTGCTTCACTATTGGCAAACCCTGTTAAGATCTTTTATTTTTATTATTTCACTGATTTTTCTCTTGTTGCTTATTAAACATCAGCATTTAACCCCAGACTCTAATCTGTTGGTAGATTTTACCCCCAGTGAGCTTATTTCATAAATCACTTGTGCAGTGAGGATTCTGAAGTAACTATTTGGCAATAGGGCAGAATTTCTCTTTGGAAATTTCTGAACTTGATACTGAATGTTGTTGGCACTCCCTTCAGAGTCTCCATAAAAAGAAACCAAATTTTTTTTTTTTTTTTTTTTTTGAGATGGAGTCTCACTCTGTTGCCAGGCTGGAGTGCAGTGGCGTAATCCCGGCTCACTGCAACCTCCGCCTCCCAAGTTAAAGTGATTCTTCTGCCTCAGCCTCCTGAGTAGCTGAGATTACAGGCACGCGCCACCACGCCTGGCTAATTTTTGTATTTTTAGTAGAGATGGGGTTTCATCATGTTGTCCAGGATGGTCTCGATCTCTTGACCTTGTGATCCACCCGCCTTGGCCTCCCAAAGTGCTGGGATTACAGATGTGAGCCACCATGCCCGGCAAAGGAAACCAAATCTTAAGGTAGATTCTGTGCATTTGTGGTCGTGGTGTTGTGATTGTTAATGAGTCACTTTGAGTACTCTAGTAGATTTGTCCAACAGTGTCTCAGTGGGCCCAGCTGGCACAACATGTAGAAATTATGAAAGAGTAGCAGAGATGAATTAAGTTTGCATTCACTTTCACTTATTTTAAAGCAATTTGTAGTCACCAAACCTTCAGTTATTTCTGCCACTATGTGTGCATATTCACCCTAATTCCAGGTATAGTGACCTGAAAGAGTTAATTCTTCTTTCAGTGGCACCTACTTTTATTTCCCCCAGCACTGATTTTTCTATCTGATGACTCTATCCTGGAACAGAGTTTACACTCGTTGTAAAGTGACATAGTAGTGAATTTATAAAAATTGCACAATGGTCAGAATAGACAAAGAAATCATATCTATGAGCTTCCACTCCAGTTTTTCATCCTCTGATGGTCACTTTATAATGACTGGGGCTGTTTTAGTTTGCAAATTTCATATTGGTCACAGGACTCTTCTTCTGAGAAAAAGTTTATTTTCTTTGGTCTGATGATACAATAATTTATTTCAATTACCTCTTTCCTCAATTTTTCTACAGACTGCTGAGCCAGATGGAATTATGGCTGAGCTCTTCTCTGTTTCTGTATCTTGTACACATTCTGACTGAAGAAGAAATCTATTTATTGTAGCTTGAATGTCATTGGCCTACTGTTTCCTTCTGACCCAGGAGTGAGCCATCACATGGGCATCTGGTCTAACTCAGAACACTCTGCAGGGACACAGCCTGGCATATTATAGGTTGCCTATTGGCATGCTGTCTACTTGACAGAATAGCAAAGTCAGTTCTGGGTACTTGCTTGTTGCCTACCAATTTTTGCTCTCAATGAGAGGTCAGAATAATGTCAATTTGCAAATGTTTGAGGAAACATTCCTGTCACCAAACCCAGAGGTTTAGCTGAATATGATGGCATTTTACAGGTGTCTTTAAATGTGGCTTTTACAGAACTTCACCTGGATCAATGTTTTGTGCATGTGATAATACAACTATAAATTTAGCTTATTAATATGATAATATTTGGAGCAGTATAATCTATAACCATGACTTCAAAAATCAAAGGTTAAAAGTATTCTTTTGCAGTGTTTTAAATCTGCTAACCTGAAAACTATACAAGGGTTTTTCTTTCAAGAATTTTAACTTGACAAATGCAAAGGAATATCCAACATTGCAAAGGTAAAGAGAAATCTTAGTTCCTTGGCATATAAGCACCATCAGTTCCTTTCTGGCCTTCCAGGGTCAGAACTCTGGGCTCCAAGGAGGTACAACTGTGAGTGAGAGAGTAGCTGCTGTGCTAGCAGGCTATGCATCCAGAACTAAACAGACCTAGCACTTTCTGTTGTACTGGAACCCATTAGGTATGTTCTAAAGTTATGTTTATTTTACTTTCCTGGTTTGTAAATTAGCATTTTAAATGACTACATTCAGAGGAAAGTATTCCACCCAGAATTCTCAAATGTATTACCTTTGTGTTTTATTTTATTTTAGTTTTTTTGAGACGGAGTTTTGCTCTTGTTGCCCAGGCTGGAGTGCAATGGCATGATCTTGGCTCACTGCAACCTCTGCCTCCAGGGTTCAAGCGATTCTCCTGCCTCAACCTCCCGAGTAGCTGAGATTACAGGCATGCGCCACCATGCCTGGCTAATTTTGTATTTTTGGGTTTCACCATGTTGTTCAAGCTGCTCTCGAACTCCTGTCTCCACCTTGGCCTCCCAAAGTGCTGGGATTACAGGTATGAGCCACTGCGCCCAGCCCTCATTTTGATATACTAGAAGACCAATATGCAACATAATGATTATTTTAAATGTTATATTCCCTTTTGCCTTAATGCGGAACAGTCTATGTATCCCTTTTCTGATGATTTGTAACAAATTACCACAAGTAAGTTGTTTAAAACACCACCTATTTGTTATCTCACAGTCCTGTACCATGTGGCTGAGTTGTCCGCTCAGGTATTCTCAAGGCTGAAATGAACACAGCTGGGCTGTGTTGTCCTTTGCAGGCTCTTAGGAAGAATCTACTATCGAGCTCATTCAGATTGTTGGCAGAATCCAGTTGTTTGGGGACTGAGATCTCTGTTTTCCTACTTACTATTGGCCTGGGGTCACTCTCAGTTCCTAGAGAACTGAGGACTCAGGACTCTTGTCCCATGGTCTGCTCCATCTTCATGGCTGGCACTGGAGAATCTTCCCTCACATGGAATCCCTCTTATGCTTCAGATCTCTCTGATTTCTGTCTCTGACCTCTAGACCCAGATTTAAAGAGCTCATGTGATTATGTCAGTCCCATCCAGATGATCTCCCTTTCTTAAAGCCAACTGTGCTACATAGCATAATGTAATCATGGGAATAAGATCCATCACAATCACAGTCTTGGAGACTATTCAGGGTGTGCACACCAGGATATAGGGATCTTGGGGCCATCTTGGAATTCTGCCTATCAGTTTATATCAATGTTCATAAAATAGCACTATGCAAAATCTGCAGTGGATATATTCTTAATACAGTCCTATTAGGAAGGAAAAGGAGATATTATATGCAGTCTCATGTCCCAGAGGGCAATTTGTTGATGTCTTCCACATGGATTTCCATGGTACGAAGATAGCATATTATTTCATTGAGTAGTTGTGTGAGTTTATTAATAAAATAGGGTATTTTAAACTTATTTTACTTTAAATCTTAGAAGAGGTGATTCATCCTTCTGTAGCTCAAATATTCTATGTCATAAATCACAGATAATACCATTACAAGATAAATTAAATCTTTTTTATAATTTTAATAGGAACTGAAGTGTATTCTTATTCTTCAGTAATACTACATCACCCATATGGACTACCTAATTGATTTTTTCCACATATGGAGTTTTGTGACCATTATTCTACCAAAAGACTAACCTTTGAAGCAATAGGACATATTAGAGTTCTTCACCAATAGAAAGTAAGCATAGTCCTGGGAGGTACCATCTAAGTATTAAAGAACTAAATAATCACAGTTATTTCAACTGTGATTGAAATTGTGATAGTAATATATGTCTTACTGTGTCAGATATATCAGTAGTCAACTTTTCAACTTGAATTTTTCCAAGTTTAATCAAGTTCTGGATGAAACTCATGTACATTTTACTACTTTTAGTTTTGTATTGTTTTAAATCAATATCCTGGAAACTCAGAAGTAAAAAAGAGAAAGAAGAAAAATATATGTCATTTCATGTAAATTTATTTAAAACACAGACTTTTGGCAAGGCACAGTGGCTCAAGCCTGTAATCCCAGCACTTTGGGAGGCCGAGGAGGGTGGATTGCCTGAGGTCAGGTGTTCAAGACCAGCCTGGCCAACATGGTGAAACCCCATCTCTACTAAAAATTCAAAAATTAGCCAGGTACGGTGGCAGATGCCTGTAATCCCAGCTACTAGGGAGGCTGGGGAAGAAGAATTGCTTGAATCCGGGAGGCAGAGGTTGCAGGGAGCCAAGATCGCGCCACTGCACACCAGCCTAAATGACAGAGTAAGACCCTATCTCATAAATAAATAAATAAATATAAATAAAACACAGACTTTTGTGTTAAGGGGACCTAAACATGACTGTCAGCTGAACTCAGCAATCAGACAAGTAATTTAATCTCTCCAAAGTTCAGATGTCTCATTTTTGCAATTTAAGTACAATAATGTTGACTTTGCATTATAGTTCATTTATTTAAACACATTTTAAAAACCTCCCAGATGCCAGAAGCCTGCTAGACTCTGACTATATAGCTACGCTTTTATGAATATCTGAAGATATGCATGTGTCTAATGAGCAAAACAGATATAATCCCTTTCATAGAGTTTACTGTCTGACAAAGAAAGAATTAGGATACATGCAACAGTATGTAATAAAGTGCAAAATCTAGTACTGTGTAGCTACTTAAAACATATTATATGCTTTCTTCCTTTCCTTTTCCCTGCCTGATCTTACTGCCATAAGAAATCTTGTAACTGTGATTCTGTCAAATGAATCTAAGAAGGATGTTGTTGCTGATGGACTAGTATAGAAAATAGCAGCATGACAAATTAAATGTGTCATTGGGGAAGTGAGATTGTATAATGAACTGAGTTTCCTGGTCAGTCCTGCTGGAACTGTGCCTTTCAGCAAAATGAGTTTGATGATTTCATTCCAAAGATCAAGTTGCAGCAATTTTCATCATGAATGTTACCCAATCATAGAAAAATTGGCAACATTTCTCAGCAGATGTTACAGTCTTTCTCAAAGGAAGGTTCTCTCAGCTGACAAGCTAACGATAGTGCTCCTGATGGCGAGGGGAGAGACGGTGATGATGACTGATTGATAAAAAGTATTTTAGTCATATTTCCAGGTTTATAAAATGATTTGCAAACATTTTCTTTTGTTCCCTCTAACACCGCTAGTAGATAATGGAAACTCCTTTGATTTGGTCTGTAGATAATTTTATGCTATGTTATATGGAATATCCACAGCATTTTGTGAACTTGAAAACAAAGGAGGAAGCAGCTTGCATATGCATATCTTGCTAGCAGATTGGTAGAATAGAGAGAGCAGTTAGCATGTGAGGACCATTGAGGTAAAGTATCCCAGAGTTGTAACTTTTTCTGGGCCTTGACTTTGGCTAATTCTCTGCATGCCAAATATCATGTAGCCATCCAGAAATCTGTCTGAATATTGAGATGGTGATCATTTCTCTCCTGGGTGTTATGAAGAAATGTGTTTATTAAATACTTTGCATCCCTTAAAGGAACTATATGAATGATAGGAATAAGAATTATTGACAGTTTTGAATGGTCTATTGATATTACTATGGCTTTGTTTCTACCAAATATGGTAAGTATAATGTAGAGGAAAATACAAAATACAACTTTTATCCCCCATTTTTTTCATTCAACTATACCTCAATATTCAGTGACAGGGCCACCTCAATCTCCGCCCATGAAAACGCATCTAGAGGAGTGTCACAAGTTTTTCACAGTGACATTTTTGCTTACTGATACAAGACAGTGATGGTGACTGATGATGTCCCAGTGATTTCTGAGTAGCTTCTAACCAGCACATAACTCCCCCAACAGTCTTTAAGTCTTTAGGTGCCCATATTTTCCTCTTTGTTCTCCCCCTTCAGACTGAGAGTTTGTAGAGAGAGGGCAACAGATCTTTTCAATACACAACTAATGCAAAATGTATCAGGTTTTTCTTGGATTTCAGCTACTCCCTGTTAAACAATCAGAGCTTAGTGAACAGTGATTCAGTGAGGAGGGAAAGCACTCAGGAAGGAGCAGGAACAAGTACAAGTTTATGAAAAGGATTAGCTAGCAAAACAAGGTCAAACTCTGCAATAGTTTGTTTTCCTCTCCCTAGTATCCCTCTTCAATCAGAAAAGAGACTGTTATCAGTTGCTGGTGTTATGACTGGGCACATCCGCCCTGGGTCAAATATGCTGCAGTCTGCAAAGCCAGCAGCAGATTGCAGTCCTCTGCAGTCCAGCCAGGCCAGCAGAACTTGTGTAGCCATGTGCCCTGTTATAGCTGTAATACTGAATTGGGAATGTTCCCTTAATGGGGCACTTGAGGGCAAAAGCAGTGAAAGCTTTTCCTTTCTCAAAGCAGACTGTTCTTCCCGTAGTGTTTTAAGAACACAGACATGTATTGGGCAAGGCAAAGCCAAAGGTGGCCTTTACAAGATTATTAAATCTGGTCTTCCAGGGTATCTAATCTGTGTGAGGACCCTGATGAACTAATTTTCTTCTAAAGTGCTATATATGTAGATATCATCATAGAGTTACACATGAAATGGCTCATTCAATACTTTTTTAGATGCCTGGAAATATTTAAGGGAGTAACTAATCAATTAGCAGCATTCCTGGGAGAACATTGTCTTGTCATTTTAACAGAAAACTCTCTTTGTGATTTTGCAGCCACGACAGCCCAACCCTGACTGGCGTTACTCTGCCTCCCTGAGAGCAGGCATGCACAGGTATGTATTTCCCTCCTCATTCACTCAGAAGTAACCTTAACTTGGTATGGCTCAGATAAACTGCATCTCCATAGGCCAGAAGCAGCTGTCAAAACTAAAAAGCTTTAGGTACTTTGCCAGGAAAATGCAATTATTTTGTCCCCATGTTTATTCCTTGAAAGATCGCAAATGGTCAGTGCCAGATGCTTATCAAGTGCTGGCATATAAGAGTCCTCTGTAAAATCACAGAAACAGGCTGCTATGTATTTTCTCCCATCAAAATTTCTACAGGGAAGTAATTTCAACCTCCTTCATCCCTCTCTACCTATGCTTTCTTTTCCTCCTTTAAAAACTGTAATTAATACTCATGCTTTGAGACTTGGGTACATTGTGCAATGTATACATACATGTTGTCTACCTTGTTTTTTTTTTAATCTCACATTGGCTATTACATCCTATTACCCTCAATAATTGATTGCTATTGTTGTTTGTGTTCACACCTATTAGAGCCTCCTCATCTTTCCCATCTGTTGCTATCTTATTGTCATCAATGACATGGTTCTTCAGAAGATGAGCCATGTAAAGGGCTCCAAATCTAGCTTACTTTAAATTAACCTAGAGTAACGGTATTAGTCTAAGACTCAGATTAAATATAATTTTGCTTTCTCTACTTTGTCTCTCTGACAGTAATTGATTAACTACCATTATTTCTGGAGGTGATCCAGTATCCATGCCATGGGGCCAAATAAAAGATTCATTATTTGCGAATGTCTTTGGAAACCAAATGGGAAGGACCAAGAAACAAATGATCACAACTATCAAAAGGATTTAATTTTAAAGAAGAAATAATCTTCAAACTTAAGCCCCTCAAAATATCTGGGCAACTATCAAGTGAATATTCACCAAACTTAGATCAGTTCGTAAAGAGAAAGCCTACAAAGTATGTGTAGAGTTAATGTGAAATTAGTTTTAGCCCATTAAAATGCATTAGATTGAAATAAATTAACATACTCTCAAGCATTACAAATGAGCAGAAATCATTACATTGGGTGCTATTTCTGATTCAGAAGCAATCAGTGAAGGGCTGAAGATTAGTAGTTGGCTTGGTAAGATGTCACATTGGAACCTGGGTCATAATTTTAGGCCAGAAACATTCATGCATATACCAGAATATTAGGTATCAGAAGAAATTCTTTATATTTATTAGAGACCAACTTGTGCTTTTGCCTGCATCTGAGCTGTTGGTGGAGACATGCAATGGGTAAAAGCATGGTTTACAGTACCAACTCTTGAAAAGTACCAAAGCTATGAGTTGTGCCTTAAAAACTACATTTGAAATAAAACATTAAAACATAACTTCCTGGACTGGGCGCGGTGGCTCACACCTGTAATCCCAGCACTTTGGGAGGCCGAGGTGGGCAGATCATGAGGTCAAGAGATCGAGACCATCCTGGACAACACGGTGAAACCCTGTCTCTACTAAAAATACAAAAATTAGCTGGGCGTGATGGCATGTGCCTGTAGTTCCAGCTACTAGGGAGGCTGAGGCAGGAGAATCGCTTGAACCCGGGAGGCGGAAGTTGCAGTGAGCCAAGATCGAGCCACTGCACTCCAGCCTGGCGACAGTGCGAGACTCTGTCTCAGAAGAATAAATAAATGAATAAAATAACATAACTTCCTTATCCCATTTTCAAATTGAAAAAAAAAAGCCAAATGTGCTCCTATTCGGGTTTCAATTAAGATATTATGAGATTTGAGTAGGGTAAGAAATAAAATAAAAATTGAAATTAAAATGCCATTTCTTTTTTGCATTGTAATACATTGAACATATTAAATGAGTTGTGAACCTAAATAATACTAATCTTTTTCGTATGTGTGCTTGGGTGTTCTCGGTCTTTCCAGTCTTGGACATCATGTAACTATTCTTTAAAAAATTCTGCTTTGAGCTGAGCTGGCTCCAGGATAGTTACACCTTCATGAATCTGACTGAGCCCACACAATTTGCTAGTAGGATCCAGGAACACTTGAAGGCTGTTAATATTTGGGGAAAAAAAACAGATAATTCTAGAGTGTAGACAAGGGGAAGAATAGTAAAAGGTCAGAGTTTAATGAGTGAATTTCTACTGGATATGTTGTTTGAAGTCAAAGAGTGAGAAAACATTGAACTTATATGTTGCCTTCCCTCTAATAGTTCAAGTTTGCCTGCTCTGTTGCCTCATATAACCCCTTTAGTCAGTAGTCTAAATTTTATTTTAGAAATTTAACTTTCAAGATAAGCAAATGTCTAGTTTAAAAGGGTCCTCTAGTCTAGGTGTAGTGGCTCATGCCTGTAATCCCAGCACTTTGGGAGGGTGAGGCAGGTGGATCACTTGAGGTCAGGAGTTCAAGACCAGCCTGGTCAATATGGTGAAAACCTGTCTCTACTAAAAATACAAAAATGAGCCAGGCATGGTGGCGGGTGCCTGTAGTCCCAGCTACTTGGGAGGCTGAGGCAGGAGAATTGCTTGAACCTGGGAGGCAGAGGTTGCAGTGAGCTGAGATCGTGCCACTGTACTCCAGCCTGAGTGACAGAGTGAGGCTTTGTCTCAAAAATAAATAAAATAAAACAAAATGTTCCTCTAATTTTGATGAGGGTTTTCTTGGACATTTTCTCTTAGGATCCCACTTATTTCTTCCTTCCTTTCTTCCTTCCTCCCTTCCATCATTCATTCATTCATTCATTCATTCATCCAACAAATATTTGAGAGATTAATATGAGTTAGTATTAGACATACATAAATGAATACTGCACCATGTTCTCTTTTCCCTTGAACAGTTTATGTTCTATCTCTGCTTGCCTCTAAAGGTCTCCCAGTTTGTATCTCACTCCCAGCAATGTTTTATGCTGAATTAATCTCTTCTGAGCGGGGATCTGTGAGTGGTGGTGATCAAGTTTCTCTAGTCTCAGGAAATATAGGGTGGGTCATCTATGCATAAAAGATATAGAAAGAGTAAAATAGAAAATAAGGTTAAGAATTAATTAGATAGCCAAATTGGAACAATACTCCAATTATCAGAAAATATTTTAGTGTGTTTTCTTCTTTAGAGTAGAGAACCTAGGAACAAGAGAACCTGCAAGAGAGGCTTGGAACTTTTGAGAACAAGCCCTCCTCATCTGCTTCAGTATCGAGATGTTAAAATGGCTTAGTCCTCTGATGGGCTTCCTGTTAGATTTAGTGAGCGCCACATGGCGTTAATAAAAAACAGAATTGCCATAAAGATAGAACATGTGTGTTCCTGGAATAGTATAGCAGGCAATAAGTAAGTCAGCAATGCTTCTGCAGTTTATGCAGGGTGACTGCTCAGCAGTAATTGCTTCAGTTCAAGCATGAGCAGAATGTGTTAGCTGCAGCCCTGGCTTCATAGTTGTAAGCAATTTCTGAGGGTGGAAGAAGAGATGGGAAAGAATTTATGATCTAACCGTTATCTGGGTCTGTGTGTTTATTCAGCTCTGTGCACCTAGAGGAGGCTGGCATTCTACGGGCTGGTCCAGGAGGGCCTGATCAGCAGTGGCCAACAGTATCCAGTGCAACACCAGGTAAAGAGCTGGGGTCTCTCCATTCTTTCTTGGTTTCTGGAAAGTGATCAGATGACCTACTTTTGTAAGATCAGGAATGTTGATGGCTCTTTTTCTTTTATATTTTTGTTATTCCCTTTTTTCCATACATACATGATTTCCTTACATATATGATTATTTTGATTTTATACCTAATGCTCTTCAGGAGTTGAAAAAGGATAACAAGGAAAGTGTGTGTGCACGCATGTGTGCATGTGTGTGTGTGTGTATGAAGTTTTTGGGGTTTGTTTGTTTGTTTAAATCAGGTACCTTTCAAATGCTTAGGTCATCCAAGCCATGCAGAGAAGATCTGGTGGCCTTATGCACAGAGATGACACTGTTAACAAAGATCTTTTGGTTGAAGACTATGGAAACCCACCCAAAGTAGTAAGGAAAGAAAGAGAAAAAGAAGGAAAGAAAGAAAAAGGAAGGAAGGAAGGAAGATGGTTTCTCATGGAAGTGGAAAATTATCGGAACCAAGGCATTGTTTTGAGTTCAAGTCAAAGTCAATCTGCTTCTCTCTGCACATCAACAACATTCTGCAGACTGACTTTTAGTGCCTTGGCATGCATGTTGCCAAACATGACCGCCTCACAATTTCTTAGTTTAGAGGGATAATAGGGACTATTTCCTAATCCAAACTTTCAGGAAAGAGAACCTGCTAAGTTGTGTAAAAAACCTAATGGCTGGGTGAGTATAGGAAAATTGCTTAAACTCACATTTGCTTGGTATCCTTATTCTTGCCCTATCACTAAAGCAGGGTCATGTAATAGAAATATGGCTTTGGAGGCCCATCGCTGTGGCAGTTTTCAGAAAGGGAAGATTAAGTGTTGGTAGAGACCACAAATTGTGTCTACTCTAATCCTCTATTAATAGAACATCATGATGATAATAGTAGTTACTAATTATTAAGCCATAATATGCCTAGACACTGTGCCAAGTACATTGTATGTGTGGTCTCATTTATTCCTTAAGTCAAGCTTGCAAGGGATTTATTACATCTATTCTACATATGAGAAACTGGAGAGGCAGAGAGATTAAGAAATGTACCCAAGTTCACGTAGCTTGTAAGTGGCAGAGGGTAGGATTCAAACCCAGATGTGTTTAGTTTCAAATCCAAGTATATCTAGCACTTATATTCATAACATGGCTGGCTTGCAATAATCCATTCAAATTCAAATACATATCTACATACATAACAGATGACAGAATGTGTGTGTAAAAGGTTTTTTCCCAAAAATAATCAGATGCCTTTCAAATTATTAAGTAACATGCAGCTAAGGGCCCATTTTTACTGGCAACTTTAAGGGCATTCGTTGATTCTAATCAGCCAGGATTTGCTATTTATGGATGTTGCACAATTCAACTAAAAGTCACATTTGTCCAAAAAATATACGAGTTGAAGCAATTCATTAGAGAGCTAATATTGCCAGATTGCAAGGGGAAAAACATAAAATAGTTCATTGACAAATCTGTACCCTCAGTGCCAACGATGGAGTGAAGAAATGATGGAGGAGGAAGTGGTTTTAGACTGCCAAGTGTTGCAGGATGTGGAGGCATCTGGGAAGGTGAGAACTTCCCAAAGAAGCCACGTGAAATCATGACTTTCTACCTTGCCTTTATTTCAGAGTTTTTCTTGCTCTTATGGAGGCATTGTAGGTCGACCTGGTAAGCCACAAACTAACTTTGAATACATTCTCCCTCCCATTGGTGATGCTGGTTGGTGTGTATTCCTAGGCAAATGTGGAATAGGAACCATGTATTGATATTTCATACATCTGGCCAAGTCCCTCTTTCAGATTCAAAAAATGTTGAGAACCTATCTTTTTTACAGAGATAGAGAAGGGGATCTCCCTTGTTCCCTTTCTTACTGTCCCAGCCCCTCTTGTATAACCCATTTTATCCAGAACTGTGCCTGGCTGCTGATGCATGAGTCACAGTCTTCATGGACTGTGCTGGATAGAGCTTACATCTTCCAACTACTCCATGGCAACCTAATCATACTTTTCAATACATACCTCTGCATCAGTGGTGTAAAGTTAAAGGGATTCTCTGCCTTCTCCCTGTCCTTCTGGTACTTTTAGGTTTTTAGGACTCAATATATGTTCTGCACTGCTTGGAGGGAATATGGCATAAAGATTAAGATTATGATTTAGAGTCAGATTTGAGTTGAATTCTAATCCCAAGCTTACTTGCTGGGTGAGCATAGACAAACTGCCTGAATTCATATTTTCTTAATTACCCTTTCTGTAAATTGGGTGTAGTAATAATAATAACACCTATTTTATTGAGTTACCATGAGAACTAAAGGAGAAAAAAAGAACTGAGCATAGTGCTTGACATATAGTTAATAAATGTCTAATCTTTTTTTTTTGAGACAGAGTCTCGCTCTGTCCCCCAGGCTGGAGTCCAGTGGCACGATATCGGCTCACAGCAACCTCTGCCTCCTGGGTTCAAGTGATTCTCCTGCCTCAGCCTCCTGAGTAGCTGAGACTACAGGCGTGTGCCACCAAGCCTGGCTAATTTTTTGTGTTTTTAGTAAAGACGGGGTTTCACCGTGTTAGCCAGGATTGTCTCAATCTCCTGACCTCGTAATCCGCCTGCCTCGGTCTCCCAAAGTGTTGGGATTACAGGCGTGAGCCACCGCGCCTGGCCTAATCTTCTTACTCTTTTTTCTTTCTGGACTACTTTTCTGCAATCTATGATATAGTGTTGGCTGATAGCCTGGTGGCCAGAATTCAGTAGTTCTCATTTGCAGGCCCAGATATAGACCCTCTGAGGTTATCTGGGTCTATATAATCCAGTCACCCCAACTGTTCCCCTGGAAATGGAGTGAGGAGGATTTATTAGTTGCTGCCTGAAGAAAAGGGAAATGCTCCAAAAAATTTGGTTGTTTCCAGACTCAAATAGAGCCTGCCTTTCATTGATTCTGTTGCCCTTAAAGCTTCACGGTGAAGATGCAGTTGCTTCCAAAAGGCTTCTTTCTGGTGCCTAAGCCTCCTTATACTTGCTTCAGAGCCCTTTCCGTGAACCAGCTGTGTATTGCTCTTCTCATCCCAACACTTGCAATGGCTGAATAAAGGAAGTGGGGCCTGCCTTACGCTAATCCTCGTTCATATGTGTTTCTTAAAGTTATTTTTCCTTCACTGATGAATTCCTTTTTTTTTTTTTTTTTTTTGAGACAGTCTCGCTCTGTCGCCCAGGCTGGAGTGCAGTGGCACGATCTCAGCTCACAACAAGCTCTGCCTCCCGGGTTCATGCCACTCTCCTGCCTCAGCCTCCTGAGTAGCTGGGACTACAGGCGCCCGCCACCACTCCCGTCTAATTTTTTGTATTTTTAGTAGAGCCGGGGTTTCACTGTGTTAGCCAGGATGGTCTCAATCTCCTGACCTCGTGATCCGCCCACCTCAGCCTCCCAAAGTGCTGGGATTACAGGCGTGAGCCACTGCGCCTGGCCTCACTGATGAATTCTTTTGCTTTTTAAAGAAACTGTTCATTTATTTTCACAGTCTGCAAAAGCCTAAGATAAAGATGCCACACTCTGAAAGGATCAACAAGGGCATCACCAAGTAATGTTTTCTGCAGGATAAACAAGTCAGGCATTAAATTGGTTAATCCTGATTACTGGCCCCTTTCTCTAGCCTCCCCTCTGTGTGAGCAGACCCGGACCACAGGCTTTCTTATTTCCTTTCAGCTTCCCTTGAGACTGAGCAGAGAGAGAAAATTAGCTAAATCAGGAATGCAGGGAATACAGTTGCAGCCTCTTCTTCAGATGGAGGAATGCGTTTTGGGGGGAGGGACATTAAAGGGCCAGTCGCTCATGTTACAGCTCTTTTTAACTTCATGAGTACTAATGCCCTGAAGAGGTTTTAATGAATGCCCTCTTGTGATCAGTTCCTAGGGCAATCCCAGGTTATAAAAGGACTGCCCCTGCCTGTGAGGGAACTGGCCTGGCTTCAGTGGGCCAGGCTGCTTTGTTATCTGTTATTGGTTTTTCCAGCTCCTCTTTCTACATTTCAAGGGATCTCAGGCCTTACCTAAGGCAACAGTACATTAGTTTTAGAGTGGGAGATGCTCACAGTTTTCAGAAGAGTTCAGAAAGTTTCAAAACACACAGCACTGCAGAAGATAACATTATAGCTTCTCAAGACCCCAGGGGATCTGGGACTAAACAGTGAAAGATTAATTAGGTAGCGGAAGCCACTAAGGCAGTGAGTCTTAGTTAGAGAACTTTGGTTTAGACAATGGTTCTCAAAGGGGCAGCAACACCAACAATACCCGGAAACTTGTTAGAAATGCAAATTCTTAGGCCCTATCCTAGACTAATGAATCAGAAATTCTCAGGATGGAGGCTGGGTGTGGTCGCTCATGCCTGTAATTCCAGCACTTTGGGAGGCCAAGGCAGGCAGATCACTTGAGGTCATGAGTTCGAGACCAGCCTGGTCAACATGGCGAAACCCCATCTCTACTAAAGTTACAAAAATGAGCTGGGCGTGGTGGCAGGTGCCTGTAATCCCAGCTACTCGGGAGGCTGAGGCAGGAGAATTGCTTGAACTCGGGAGGTGGAGGTTGCAGTGAGCTGAGATTGCACCACTGCACTCCAGCCTGGGTGACAGAGTGAGACTCCATCTCAAAAAAAAAAAAAATAATAAATAAAGAAAGAAAGACATTCTCAGGAATGGGACCCGGCAGTCTATGTTTTAACAAGCCTTCTATGTGATACCAATGTACTGTGAAGTTTTAAGAACTGGTCTAAGGTAAATATTCCTGAGGTTGTCTTATATCATTACAGGGTCAGAATGCATGCAAGGAAGCCATCTGTTTATGGTTCTTGTGAGAAGCAGGGGGCCTTTCCCCATGCCCGAGAGATAATTGTTAAGAGCTCAAGCTTGGGAGTCAGTGACCCTTTCTGAATTCTACCTCTGCCACTCAGTAATTGTATGTTCCTGGGACCATTACTTAACTTTCCTGATTCTCAGTTTCTTTCTCTATAAAATGGGGAGAATAGTGGTGTCTACCTTATAGGGTTCTTGGAAGAATTAGATGAGATAATGCACACATATTGCAGAATCTGAAGAACAATCAGGGTTTAGTAAATAGTAGCTATTTTTAAATGATTTTTCCAGGTATGAGTCTATCCTACAGCTTCAAAATTTAGACCCAGGTTGTTCTGAGTATTCTCTGTGGGAAGAATCTGCTATAGAGAAGATTTTTTTAAAGTGCCTGTCTCTTTGTTTCCTTAGGGGATTGCTTTTGCCCTGATTTGCCACATCTCTTTACTCTGTGGAAAATGGACAGTTTATGTGCCCTAGTTTTATATGGGGATTTATATTCTTAATTGTCTCAAGGATTCTTACCTGTCTGACAAAACCAACTCCCCATGGAAAGACTCCATGGAGACTCCATCTCTGATCCTTCCCCAGAAAGAAAGCATGATTCTTAAGTTTTTTAGAATCTGTTTAGGAGCACTGTCAACATGAATTTTTCTATTTCATGAGTGAGTGCAGCCTCGGGCCTTGTTGGAGAATTTAGAAAGCATGCTGTTCCACTAACCTGTTCAACCTCAACTTCTGCCGTTGTCATAGCAATGACAGTCCTGGGAGGTGTGTGCATATCCTTATTAGGAAAAAAAAATGAGATCAGGGATCTATGTGAGTGGGGCAGCTCCCGCCTGTGAGTATCCTTCGCTGTCACCTGCCATCTGACAGCCCAGGAGTGCCAGCTTGGCTTGGCTTTCTCTACCCGAGGAAAGTAAGTCCTTTTAAGATGCACTTTTACTTTCTGGGGTTGTGAAACTCATTGTGTTTGCCAGAGTTCTCTTCGCAGCTTATGTAAAGAATTTGTTTGTTTTGGATTGACCTGAAGGGAGGAAGCAAGGGTGTGGGAAGGGGAATTAGCATCCCCTACCTAGGAGAAGCCATGAAGCTTACTTAAGTCTCTGCTGGCTCCATCCATTCATGACTTTCTTCATCTTCTTCTTGGGAAAACACTCTGTACCTTCCACTTTTAATGGTCATGTAAATAAAAGACTAGAATGGAGATGTCCTGGTTTTCTGAAATTAAACATTTTTGTTTATGAATAGACTCTAAGATAATTCTTTCCCTAGACGCTCTGTATTTTCTTGGACCTCTCATTTGCCCCATAGTAATTATTCTAGGATTGGTGGCCTGGGCAGAATACAGTCATGGTTAAGACCATGATACATAATAGAAGAATTTCTTCCGTAACAGTAGCCCCAAACAGAGATCACGTGTCTCCTGAAACCTATCCAGTCTCATGTGCACTCAGATGTACGATCCTGGATATAACATTTTAGAGGGTGTAGTGAGGAGAATAGAACAACACTGTTCTCTTAGGCTGCAGTTTCCTTCAAGCCCCACGATGGAGAGAAGCAGGCTAATGCAGGGTAAGGAAATAGAGACTTATTATAGTTTCTTCAGTTATCATTGATTCCTTTAATATGCCAGCTACATTGAGGCAATACAGTCTGGCCTCTGAAAACCTTGTCAGGAGAAACAACTTTTGAATATATCTTAGAAAAATAAGACACTTTATCCCTTCTTTTGTTTAAGAGTGTTGCATAAAACAGGAGAGTTTCTGAATTACCCTCCCTTCTAGCTTTCTTTATACACCATTCTTTGTAGCTGAAGTTTTAAGCCCCTTGTCAAAAGGGAGATTCAAGTTTCTGCTGGGGACATCTCAGTGTCACAAAGGGCCAAGGAAGTAGGGTCTCACCAACTTTGCCACCTGACTCAGCTCAAAGGTGATAGGTCACCTGTGTGACTGAGAGCTTTGTGGGAAAGATGATATGGAGGGTGGAGAGTCTGCACTTCACTCTGTGGGAAAAATTGCTGAGGTTGTTTAGAATTGTTAGGCTTGGAACTCCTCCTGGGAGGTGCTTGAACAAGAAAGACCTGCTTATAACCTGAGTTGAGGGCAGAGGAGGAAGATAGTTTGTAATTCCTTTACGTTTTGTGGCTCCGGCAAGCCCTGTCCTCAGCCTCACTGACACAAGTAAACTAAAAATGAAAGTCTGTCCTAGTGACAGCAAGGGTCTTTCATGGCAATATTTTAAAAGAAACTCTGCCCAGATTTCAAAGGAACGTGAAAATTTTATCTTCAGAGGCAGTCAGCTTTGCAGTTGAAAAGGCCATTGCCTAATCTGGAGAAACATATTCAGTTCAAGCACTGGCTAGAGACTAGAGGCCCCCAGGAAAGGGCCATAAGATTGGTCACTGCCAGGAAGCCTGTCAATGAGTGTGTGGACTGGAGAGGAATCTTTCTCTGCCTCAGCACTTGGAGTCTCCGTTATTCACAATCAGAAAAAGAGGGAGAGCAGAGATAGATGACATTCCACGTTTTTCTCGGTGAGACCAAGAGCTTCCTCAGCAACAGCCCTGCCTGAAATTGTCTATCTCCAAGGGCGTGGGCTAGGCAAAGGATGGGAGAAGTCAGTCCTGAAGATGGTAATACTTAAAGGAAATAAGGGGGACAAAGGATGCTTGTGCTACTATTGAAACAGGAAATTGAGAGCTCTGTAGAAGTCAGACTCAAGAGGCATAATAATAGAAAGTTAGGGTATGAAAAGGTGACTTTTAAGAACCAAATGTGGACCCGAAAGAGAACAAAGAGAAGTTTATTGTAACTAGCGTTGTATTCCTTGTCTGCTGGATACCAAACAATGTACCCCGGGTCTTGAGATTATCGATGCCATTGTCTGTAAAAAACCAACCAAACAAACTTTAAAAATAAGTAAAGCCTGCCCTGTACAGAAAATCTAATAAAGCAAATTTGTTGGTGATGTTCCAAGAAGGTTCACCAGCTTGGGCTTTCAACCAGCATTGACCCAATCTTGTGTCCAGAGCTGTTGCTGTAGGTGGTATCATGTATCAAGCTGAATAGTGAGGTGACATTCCCCAAGTCTTCTCTCTTGTCTTTTTTGACTGTGCATCATAGATACTGTATTACCCAAGAACACACACCTGTTCGATCTCTTTTCCTATAATCACCTGGAGTCAGATGAATACCGTAAAGGTCTGTGGTAAGACTAGAAGCCTCAGCCAGTATGAATGATTTACATTAGATGCACACCAAGCTGCTTTCGGAGAGTCCAGATTTATGGGGATAAGAGCATCACTAGGTATATCAACAGCCCTAGGGTGGATACCTTTGAGCCTGTAAATTTGGCTCTGTGTTGGACGATGAACCATGGAATACAGAAGAAGCTCCCTTCTCTCAGCTAAAGCCTATTAGCAAAAATAGAGCCCTGAGGACATTGTATTTTAAGTGTATGTTCCAGTGAGTGGGTCGTTGCTGGGTCAAGTTTTATAAGTCTTTAAATCCCATACTGTTGCCTCCTGGACTGTAGAAATAGTCTCTTAGAACAAGAGAAAGGAAGACAATAGCTACCATTTATTGAGAACTGTGATAAGCACTTTACATATGTTGCATACTTAACTTTGAGAGAAGTA
The DNA here is from genome assembly GCF_000001405.40 of Homo sapiens. Classification (NCBI taxonomy): domain Eukaryota; kingdom Metazoa; phylum Chordata; class Mammalia; order Primates; family Hominidae; genus Homo; species Homo sapiens. The sequence goes on from NW_025791778.1 coordinate 226,230, forward strand.
CATTATTATTCCCATGTTTCAGATAAAAAAATTAAAGCTCATAAGAATTAAGTGGCTTTCTTACATTCACACAGCTAGTAAAAATGTTTTTTGCTCACCATTGTATTCCCATTGTCAAGCAGGATGCCTAGCACACAATGATGCTCAATAAATTTTGTTAAATTCATTAATAAATGCAGTGGTAAAGGCAGTATTTGAACTCATGTCTGCTTGCTGCTGAACTCTATACACTTAACACATTACTATTATCTTGTCCCGCATGATACATGAAGGGAATAGCTTGGTAACTTGGAAAAGACTATTTACTGTCTGAGTTCTAGGCCAACTGTAGGGTGTCTGTATTTATTTCCCATTATGCTATAACAAATTAACCATAAACTTCATGGCTTAAAACAACACAATGTATTATCTTACAGTTCTGGAAGTCAGAAGTCCACAGTGAGTTTCACTGGCTAAAATCAAGGTGTGTTCTTGCCACTATATAACAAGGATCCACTTTCCTTTAGTTTCCAATAACAGGCTCCTTATTTCTACCTGAGCCCTCACTGGCAGCACCTTTAATGCCATATTTGTAATAACAATCTGTTCATGACAATTTAGGTTTGCTCCTCACTTTTTTCTGAGTCCTCTCTAGTAGAGCCATTAATATGCATATTGCTACTAGCAGCCTGTTCAAGGTAATGTAGGCTCTTTCTATCATGCTCTTCAAAATTCTTCTAGACTCTGCCCATTTCCCAATCTCAAGGCCACTTCCGCATTTTTAGGCATTTATAACGGCAGAACCGCACTTCCAGATACCAAAATCTGTATTAGTTTCCTAGGGCTGCCATAACAAATTAACACAAAATCCCTTTTGCCATGTAACATAACATATTCACAAGTTCTAAAATTAGAATGCAGTCATTTTGGTGGGGCCATTATTCTGCCTACCACCCGGTCTTTCATGTTCAGGCAGAGGTGGCTCTGTGTGTGTGTGTGTGTGTGTGTGTGTGTGTGTGTGTAAGTTAATTTCAGTAGAGAATGAGCTAGAGTAGAGAAAGAGAATTAAGGTGAGATGTGTCATGGAAGAACAGTGACTGATGATGCTAACTTTGCTCAATCAAGAAGTGTGATCCATTTAAATCATGCTTTCAGTGATCTATCCAATCAGATAAACTACTCTCCCTTCCTGGGAAGAGTAAGGAAGGAAGTAGAGCTAAAGATGAAAGTTCTTTTCGTAGCACATCCCTGCAAAGGATGGGAGTATTGTTTTGGTGGGCATTCCCTTTTCTAAGAGCAAAGATGGAAATGTGGAGAGAGGAGAAAAATGGTTCCCATTACATTATTGTGTTCTGGACTTAGAGATATTGTTCTGCCCCAGGTCTAAGAATATTGTTCCAAGAGTTGGGAGCAGGCAGCAGAGGACAGTACTCTTTAGATCACCCAGAGGCCAATCTGTAAGGATTCAATCCTGGGGCATGGTAGCTAATGGAAAAGTCACTGTCACAAGTGATGCCAGGAGATGGGGCAACACATATTGCCTGCCTTGTATGCATCTAGCGTCTGTGTCTAAGTGAAAGCAGATTATATCCAGAACTTCCCTGGAAAATAGAAGAAAGAGCCTGATTGGTGTGTATGTGTGTGTTAGGGGTTGAGGGGTGGGTAATGTTCCTGCCAGTATTCGTAAATCCCACCTGCTTTTCCTGTGATGCTTCCTGTGTTGGGGATAGGAGGGTGGGATGGTTCAGGGTCAATTTTATGGATCCATATGTATCTAAGGATGTGTTTGTTTTTTGGGAACATTTTGTATAACAACCAGTTTCACTCTAGCTCCCTCCTTGATATTCTAAACAAGCTGGATATCTCCAAAGCTTAGGCCCTCTCCATACTTACAGCAGCTCTGACTGGAGATTAAATCACCCCTTATACTGCTGACAATGATTAGGCCATGGGACCCATGAAAGAGCCTCCCCAGAGTCCAGCATCCCCTGTGGGCTCCGTGTGTCATCAAGATGTCAATCCAACTGCTGTTCCTGCAGTCTGCAATCAGCAGGGCTATGTTTATTCAGCGGTCAGTGTCACATCAATTTCCTTCTGTTGCAACAAGTATAAATGGATTCTAAATATTTGCCTTTGGGAAATTTCTTTAGAGGGAAACTCACTAAAGCTAATTTTTTTAGCTTTTTGGTATGTTCTCTCTGAATCTGGGGATTTAGATATATAAATTAGCTTCTTTGGTCTTTTCTTGCCCAGGGTCACAACCTTGCCTCCAGGATAATACCTTCTAAGTGTTTGTGATTTGAAGGGCACTACGAAGATCCTCACAAAAACTACCTCCCAGCCGGGTCCCTGAAACTCCATCATTAACCACCTTCATCAGCATTTCTCTTTTAAAATCCTTATTCATTCCTGTTCTCCTTCTTTCTTTCTCACACACACACACACACACACACACACACACACACACACACACACACGGGGAGAGAGAGACAGAGAGAGAGAGAGATAGAGAAGTGAAGTATATAGTATCCTTTCTAGGGATGCTTTTCTTGGCTTGGCTCCAATAGAGAATTTTGTTGGGACCCTCTATATATAGTCGTGTACCAAATAATGACACTTTGGTTAACAATGGACCACATATGTGACAGCTGTCCCATAAGATTGTAATACCATATTTTTACTGTACCTTTTCTATGTTTAGATACACAAATACTTGCCATTATATTACAATTGCGCAGTATTTTGTACAGTAACATGCTGTGCAGGTTTGTAGCCTAGGAGCAATAGGCTATACCATATAGCCTAGGTATGTAGTAGGCTATGCCATCTAGGTTTGTGTAAGTACGCTCTATGATGTCCATACAACAAAAATGCCTAGTGATGCATTTCTCAGAACATATCCCCATTGTTAAGTGATACATGACTGTAGTCATCATCAAACATTTATTAAGCACTTAGGTCAGGCCAGGCTCTGTTCTAGGTGATGCAGATATAATATTAAATATAACACAGTCCTGCCCTTATAAATCTAATGGTGAAGGGAGAAATGTAAAGAAATATGATGGAAATATTACATTGTCATGTGATAAGGGCGACAATAATGCCCTACGTAGGTAGGGTCAACGAAGGGGAAGGAAGCTGGGACAAACCACCAGGGCCTGTTGGTCCAGAATGGGACCCAGGGTCTGTCTATGTTATAATCAATTCAAACCCTAGGTAAATAAGGTAAGCTAGGCTGCCTTTCTTGAGACAGTCCCCAGATTGTTTTCACAGGGCCCAAACACTCTCAGCAACCATGAACAGTGGATGTTGTGGGACCTCAGAAGATGGAATTGGAAATTCAGGGGACTAAGTCAGAGATTATTTGACATTTAATACTGGATATTGAGGCCGGGCGCAGTGGCTCACACCTGTGATCCCAGCACTTTGGGAGGCTGAGGCGGGTGGATTGCCTGAACCCAGGAGTTTGAGAACAGCCTGGGCAACATGGCAAAACCCCATCTCTACAAAAAAAATATAAAAATTAGCCGGGTGTGGTGGCATGCACTTGTAGTCTCAGCTACTTGGGAGGCTGAGGCACGAGAGTCACTTGAACCTGGAAGGTGGAGGTTGCAGTGAGCTGAGATCACACTACTGCACTCCAGCCTGGGTGACAGAATGAGACCCTGTCTCAAAAAAAAATTTAAAATACTGGGTATTGCAGGATGGCAAGTAGGATGTGGAGAGGAAGAGAATTCCAGGCAAAGGAAACAATGCGTGCATGCAAAAACAAAATACAAAAAACTGAATTGTGTAGTCTGGGTTAATAAGATGAGTGCATTTGATGGATGTGGTAGAATAAAGAGATGTTAGGAAATGAGATCAGAAATGTAGACTGGAATCAGATTTTGTAGGACCTTAAACATCCTGCTAAATAATTTGTAGTTTCATTTGTTGGCCATGGAGACCCACTAGAAGGTTAGTTGGTTTGTTTATATTTAGGAAAGAAGATTCTTTTAAGTTTCCTTAACTCTACTGAATTTTCAAAAATCAACCTACAGCAATCCAAACTTATCTGTGGAGATACATTCCAAGACCCTCAGTGGATGCCTGAAACCTCATTTAGTACTGACCTTTATATACATTATGTTCTTTCATAGGTGCACCTATGATAAAGTTTAATTTATAAATTAGGCACAATACTCTTGTGCTTTGGGGCCAGTATTAAGTAAAATAAGGGTACTTGAATACAAGCCCTTTGATACCAAAACAGCCAGTCGGATACCAAGACACTTTCTAAGTGAACTAACAGGTGAGTAGTGTAGACGGCATGGATAGGTCGGACAGAGGGATGATTCACGTACTGGGCAGGATAAAGCGGGATGGCTCGAGATTTCATCACATTACTCAGAACAGCTTGCAATTTAAAACTTATGAATTGTTTATTTTTGAAATTTTTCATTTAATATTTTCAGACTAAGGTTGACTGTGGGTAACTGAAGCCTCAGAAATCAAACCTCAAATAAGGGGCGATCACTGTACTGAATAATATGTCAAGATGAGCTATGAGCTTTTAACTTAGTGTTTTTCTTCTCCCAAACCAAATATTGGAAACTTTGGAGTGTTTAGAAAAGGAGAATCGAAAAGGGAAGTAAATGCAGCATTTTTTTTAATTGTTAAATAAAGGGCTGGGCTTGGAAATGTTCTTAGGTAATCCTGGTGGATTTGGTATATCATGTCTGAGAAAATGTGGAGAGTGAAGGGCAGGTTTAAAATTTGTCTCATGTTAGTTTCTGAAGGGAGATAGCCTGGCATTGCACAGTGCCTCACATTTCTATCGTATCACTTAATAATTGTGCAACCTGTGCTTCAGATTTATCAATGTATAAAAGAGGAGAGACCATAGGCTGTTGTAAGTATTAAATGACATAATGCACGCAAAATGCTTAGAACCATGCTTAGTTCATGGTAGCCACTCAAAAATGTCGTCAGAACTATTACTACTCAGTTTAATGCTCCTAGCACTTAACACAGTGCTTGGCACACAGTAAAGAGGATTCAAGATGTTTTTGCTAGATTACATGGAATGGTATGGAAGTGTGCAGGGTGGTGTAGAGGGTTCTCCCATTATCTTGCCTTCCTTATACTGCAATGTGCTGACAGCACCTCCATTTTATACCCTCAATGCAAGGATATCACTACTTGTCTAGAAATGGTTGCTCAAGGCTGAGAAGTGACAGCAACACAGAGCCTGGGATTGCTGCCAAATTTCAAGAAGCACAGATTGTAACAAAGTAAGGGGGGAGGGTAGAGAAGAAAAGTTTGAAAACCCAACCAAAGTCAGAAGCCATTTTGTTGTCGGCTGAAATAATGCCTCATAGAGTTTCAGGTGGGGCAGGCAGTGTGAAAACTTTGGGAATAGTCAGTGTCAAGTTGTGGTGCTAAGGGAGGAACCCAGTAGTGCTCAGGCCTGGGCAAGTCTGGCTTCTTGGGGCCCAGCATTTAGAAAGGCCCTGTGTGTTTTGATATTATGCTGTCACTATCTTGAAGTTCTTGATAATTTGTTAACAAGGGCCGCCTCCCCCCATTTTCATTTGGCAAATTTCACTGGTTCCTGCAAATTATGTAGTTAATCCTGGGTGCAGGCTAGTTTTTGAACCATGTTGGGCTAGTATTCTTCTGAACCTCTATCTCTTTGATTTAATTACAGAAGAAACAAAAGTCATAACAAATTATATCTGTGCAGGACTAAAATAAAATGAGTAGTGCCTCACTCCCTACATCCAATCATGCTTTCCAAAAGTAACCACTACCAATAATTTAGCGTGCATCTTCAGAATTCTTTATATGCCTACATTTTAATGTATTTTTAAATAAAATAGAATTACATTGTTGAAGTAAATATTAAAAAATATAGCATTTTTGCATAGAAATATTTATTTCCCTCAATCCCACTCCCCTTTGGTGAAGCAACCACTGTTAACAATTTTGTGTGTATCCTCCAATATTTTTTTGAAATTAATGAACTTTACTTTTTAGAGCAGTTTTAGGTTCACAGGAAAGTTGAGTAGAAAGTGCAGAGTTCTCATGCACTCCTGCTCTCCCACATACACAATGCCCCCACACCCCCGCCACAGTGACATCCTGCCCAGAGTGGTACATTCATGACAATTGATGAAACTATATTGACATCATTATTGAAACTATCATTACCACCCAACTTCCATGTTTACTTTAGGGTTCACTCTTCCAAATATTTCTTGCATCACTTAACAATGGGGATACACTGAGAAATGTGTCTTTAGGCAGTTTTTTCGTTGTACAAATATCATAGAATGTACTTACATAAACCTAGATGATATAGCATACTACACACTTAGGCTCTATCGTATGGCCTATTTCTCCTAGGCTACAAACCTGTATATCATGTTACTATACTGAATACTGTAGGCAATTTTTACACAATGATAAGTATTTGTGTATCTCAACATACCTAAACGCAGAAAAAGTACAATAAAAATACATTATTATAATCTTACAGGACAACTGTCATATGTGTGGTCCGTTGTTGACTGAAACATGATTATGGGGCGCATGACTATATAGAGATTTTCAAAAAGCAAAATGGGATAATGCAATATGTATTATTATACAGCTTGTGTGTGTGTGTGTGTGTGTGTGTGTGTATGTTAACAAACACCTTTCTACGTCAGTACATATAGATTTGCCACAATCTTCTTGAGTAAGGATATAGCACTATGTTGTATACCTATATTATAATTTATCCAATTTGCTGTTGGTATCTATGTTTTCTAAACAATACAATATACATTCTTATACATATTTCTTATGCATGCTTGCTAGTATTTATACAGGATAAATTTCAAGAAGTAGAATTACAGAATCATAGGATATAAAAATATCAAATTGGCAAATTGGCATTCACGTACCTGTGGTTGGACTGCACTTGTTACATACTTCCCTCTGAGCCTTCCATCCCCACCTCGAGCTAGTGCTATATGTCACTTAACTCAGTGACATCATCATCAACAGACTTAGCCTCTGCAGTTGAAAATGCTAGAGCAAACAGAGGAGAAAATTTACTTGTGAATCATAATAGCTAACCTGTACTGAACAGTTAAGCCATGTGCCAAGTATTATTCTAAGCACTTTACAAGTATTAACTCCTTTAATCTGTATAACCACACCCAGAAATTTGTGCATTATTATACTCATTTTACTGCTAAGAAAACTGACACCCATAGGATTAAATCAGATCACACATTTAGTAAGGGCACCAGGATCTGAAGCAGGATTGTTTGACTTCTGAGTCTGTGCTCTTAACCACTGCACACACCGTCTCTAGAAAGTTTAATGCCATCTTTATGCCAAAGTTTATCTACCTGGTTTATCCTTTAACACTATTATTGTATTTATTCATTTACTTGTCTTTTCCTCCCACTGTGCTGTAACTCTTTGAGAACAGGGTACTTGTCCTAATATTATTCATATTTATATCCCTAATTCCTAATTTAATGTCTAATTTATTGTAAATAAGTTTTTTTTTTTTGAGACAGAGTTTTGCTCTTGTTGCCCAGGCTGGAGTGCAATGGCACAATCTCAGCTCACTGCAACCTCTGCCTCCTGGGTTCAAGTGATTCTCCTGCCTCAGCCTCCCAAGTAGCTGGGATTACAAGCTTGCACCACCACGCTAGGCTAATTTTGTATTTTTAGAAGAGACACAGTTTCACTATGTTGGTCAGGCTGGTCTGGAACCCCTGACCTCAGGTGATCTGCCTGCCTTGGCCTCCCAAAGTGCTGGATTACTGGTGTGAGCCACATGCCTGGCCTTGTAAATAATAAGTTTAGTTGAATAAATAACAATGCCTCCGGGAGGTAGCTATTATATCCATTTTACAGATGAAGAAACTGTAAGTCAATGTTAATCAAATAGTATCCTAGAAAATAGTAGAAAGCAGAATGCTGGAGCTGAGATTTGAACCCAAGACTTTTGATACTTCGTCCAGTGTGCTTTCCACCATGCCTAAGTAGTCTCCTTCACTTCCTCCTTCAGAGGGCTATGGAGAGTAACCTAGCAACCATTTCTAAGCTGGAAAATGTCACAGCCGGAAGTCTTCAGTCCCCTAGAAGGAAAAGAGCCTGATGGGGAGAGGGTCCTTGGAAAAGAGAATTTCTGGAAGTACTACATTTGAGAATAGGTGGTTAAAGTGGGAGTTGGATTAGTAAAGGAATACTGCATAGTAGTAATACCCATTCTTTATTTCAGAATTTCTTCATGACAGACATTGATCTGTGTGATTTATAAGCCTTGTCTCTTTTTAATGTTCACAATCCCATTAGATGGTTATTGTTATCTTTGTTTTGCATATGAAAGAATGGGAGCTAAGAGGCCAAGTACCTTGCCTCTTATTCGTTCAACGAATAAGTGGTGAAGCAGATTCCAACTCAAGTCTATGTTACCCAAGAACCTACATTTTAAGCATTTTGTTACCCCCTGGATATGACAGCCAATGAAGAGGGGGTATTTTGAGAAGAGACTATAAAGGGAAATTGCCTTCCCTACATCCTGGGGGACCTTATCAACCAGGAAACAAGGTAGAGAAAACTGTGCAGCCTGAGCCCTGCTGGGTTGCGGGGGGCTCACAGAAAGAAGAAATGTGATTTTTTTTTAGCTAACTACGGAGACCAGCCATTCCAATGTTTGAATCTGGGTTCGCAGCACATGATGTCTTTATACTCTTAACCTAGAAATGGCAGAGTTATTTTGGGCACAAAGCAAGAGCTGTGGCTTTAAAAATATGCCAAGTGTATTTATCTCTTCCGCTCCAAGATTACTGAAAATTAGCCCAGCTGTAGCTTGGGACACCAAACAGCCAAAAAATCTTCTTCCAGCTCAACTCATTCCACCCAAAGAGGGTGAAATACCCAGGAGTAGCAGCTCTAGCGGCCTCTGGGTAGTGGTATTAGATTGGCCTCCCCATTGCTAAGCCTGACATCCAATCACACACACACCACTCTCCCAGCTGCTCTGTAGATCACAATGCTAGGCCTGTGAATGGAGCTCAACTCCGTCTCTTCCCTCATCCCCAAGGCTTCACAAGAAGTAAACAAAACAAACAAAAACTATTTGATTATTGAGCCAAGGAGTCAATGTGAGAATAGTTTTTCACCTTCATTATCAAATGCCTGTGTGGAGCTGAATGTGGTGGCTGACACCTGTGATCCTAGCACTTTGGGGAGGCAGAGGTGGGAATATTGCTTGAGGCCAGGAGTTCAAGACCAGCTTGGGCAACACAGCAAGGCCCTATCTCTCTCTCTGTCTCTCTCTGTCTCTCTCTCTCTCTCTCTCTCTCTCTCTCTCTCTATATATATATATATATATATATATATTTTTTTTTTTTTTTTTTTTTTTGAGACAGAGTTTTGCTCTTGTTGCCCAAGCTGGAGTGCAATGGTAAGATCTCGGCTCACTGCAACCTCCTTCTCCAGGGTTCAAGTGATTCTCATGCCTCAAACTCCCGAGTAGCTGGGATTACAGGTGCCTGCCACCATGCCCAGCTAATTTTTGTATTTTTAGTAGAGACAGGGTTTCACCATGTTGGGCAGGCTGGTCTCGAACTCCTGACCTCAGGTGATCCACCTGCCTCTGCCTCCCAAAGTGCTGGGATTACAGGCATGAGCCACTGTGCCTGGCCCCTATCTCTGTATATTAAAAAAAAAAAATCTTAGCCAGGCATAGTGGCGCACACCTGTATTCCTAGCTACTCAGAAGGCTGAGGTGGGAGGATCACTTGAGTCCAGGAGATCCAGTCTGGCAGTCAGCCATGACCTCACCATTGTACTCCAACCTGGGCAACAGATATAGACGCTGTCTCTAAAAAAAAAAATCCTGTGTGATTTAGGACAAATTATCTTGCTGTAATTTAAGCCTTCATATTCCTTTTTTATAAAATAAATATGCTTTAAATATGTATTTAGATATACACTTATAATAATAGCTTTAATTAATTGTAATTAAATCATTTAAAATTAAATACATGCAAAATACCCCATAAACTGTCTAATCCATAATAAGCAATCAATAGTCCTTAAACAAATGAATCTTCTGTTGCTCTGATCTTAATAAGTAAAATTTAACGAGTTTTTACTTTGCACCATGCACTTATGCTATGTGCTGTATAAGGATAGTTACATTTAATCTATAAATCAACCCTATGGGGCGGGCACTCTTATGAACTTTTTTTACGGATGAAAACTGAGGCCCAGAGATATGAAATAATTTGCCAAACATCACCATAATTTACATGATGTAGCCAGGTTTAAGCCTACTATTCTGATTACAGAGCCTAAGATCCTACAGAGAACAGGGAGTATATTTTTACATTCCCTTGTTTCCATGGAAAAGTCTTTCCACTGTCAATTGAAGGACTAAGCAGCAGCGGGGAAGTGCTGGAAATGCTAGCCCAGGTGGGCTTAGCTTTCTCCCTCTCTCTCTGATCCTGGACAGGATTTGGGTTTCAGACCACGATTCTCCTGTGTTTTGTGGGCTGTGATTACTCAGATTAGGTTTGCCCAATTCATAAAGGACTGGCGGGGGTTGGGGGTGAAGGTGTGGGAGAAGGCGGAGCTTGTCCAGTCGGTCCAACAAACCCCACAGATGGCGAAATAGGGGGCGGGGAAGGAGCTTGAGATATTTTACAACCTGGGCTGTTTCAGTGGTTGATGGCGGATGGTTTTTGCCTTTTGGTCAGCCTGAGTATATACTATCATTCTACAATCGGCCAAATTCTGACAGAGAGGGAGACAGAGAGAGAGGTTGATTAAATTGATGCCCAAAACCAAGAAGGAGCAAAGAAATCGGGGCTGTTTGAAAAAGACTGCAGTGGCTGACTTGGGTGGTGAGCGGAAATAAGGAGGAGGGAGAGGCGGGGTGTCTCTGCGCGGAAAGCCTGGAAGTTCACTTGCAAACACAGAATCTGCACAGCCTTCGGTGCCCTGACTCTTTCCTGGGCATCCAGAGGCAGCAGCAGCCGCCAGCGCCAAAGAACGAGCAGTCCAGGGGCTGGGCCGGAAACGGCTATAATCATTTAATAGCCTTTGCCGGCTGCACTGACTTAGCAGAGTGGGCGGTAGGCAGGCTCCAGAGTGCTGTCTGGCAAGATAGTCCCCGGCTTTAATCAAAATGATGGGTTTTCTGGAAGCTCTTTATTAACCTCAGCACTGAAATCCCAGAGCTGGTAACAAAGGGATGAATGGGGAGCAAAGGGGCGGGGCCGAAACCTGGAGGCCGGGCTGCATCCGCACCCCTTCCCCCACCTCCACTCCTTTCAACTCATTCTGGCTTAGGGCTCCTGCTGGCATCTCTGTGCCTCCCAAATAGTAGTAACAAAACAGGCAATAACCATAATAATTGGCACATTTGTATAACGCTTTAGCATTTTCAAAGGATGACCTTGTTATACAGCTCAGGATCTGAGTCTCCTAGCTGGAGTCAGACTCCCTAGATTTGAGTCCCAGGATCCACCAGTTAGTGACCATGTGACCATTAGTCCTTAGTCCCCTCATCTATAAAACAGACACATAACACAGACAGAGATACTAGAAATGTCTACTTCATAGGGCTCTTGTCAGGACCAAAACCTATACGACGTGCAGATTTGTTTAACTCTGTTGCACACACATAGGAAGGGCACAGTAAATGTTAACTACATCGACAACCCTGTGATGTAGACAGGAAGGGGATCATCTCCATTTTATGGATGAGGAAACTGAGGCTCAGAGATATTTATGTAAATGGCCCAGGACTATGCACTAGTGAGAGAACCAGGGCAAGTCCTCAAGAACAGAAAGAGAACAAAGCAAGATGAAGAGAAGATCAGAAAAGTGAACACCCTCCAACACCCTCCAGCACATGCCCCTCTGAGAGCTTTCCTGAAAATAGTATCCTTGGTCAAAATGAGTTTATGTTCTATTAGGGAAAGTCAGTGTAAATCAGAAAAGCCCTCCTGGCCTTAACAGAACAGTTCCAAATGCAGATGAGGGTGAGTTTAACAGGCCTGGCATTTGCTTCACAATCTTCTGGCCCTTTCCTGGCATTTGCCTTGGCAAAGACTCTGACCTGATCAATCCTAGTCCCTGAGGCTCAACTCCATCAACTCAGGCAGCCAGGGTTAGTTTAGCATGAAAGAGGAAAGCTGGAAATTTTGCCAAAAAGATTCCTGGGCAGTGCCTAAGGGAAGTGCCCAAATTGGATTATAGGATTACATGAAGTGGCCAGCTACTTCCAGAGGGCAGGGTTTTTTGTTTGTTTGCTCTGTCACCCAGGCTGGAGTGCAGTGGTGCAATCTCAGCTCACTGAAACCTCCGCCTCCCGGGTTCGAGTGATTCTTATGCCTCAGCCTCCCAAGTAGATGAAATTACAGGCGTGCACCACCACAGTCTCGCTAATTTTTATAGTTTTAGTAGAGATGGGGTTTCACCATGTTCCCTAGGCTGGTCTTGAACTCCTGGCTTCAAGTGATCCACCTGCCTCAGACTCCCAAAGTGCTGGGATTTTAGATGTGAGCCACCATTCCCGGCCCCAGAGGGCAGTTTTTAAAGTAGAAGTGAAGATCTGTATGCATTTATTAAAATATATGTTGTTCTGATTTTAAAATATATCCCTACCAATTGTGAAGATATCGGCTAATCCAATAAAAAAGCAAAACCATATTTTGTATAATTATGGTCGTATTCTGTTAAATAAACTTTTAAATCCTATTGGGTTGTAATCTGTAGTCTGGGAAGGGCTCTGCCTAACGATTCAGACCCCTACCAGATTTATATGTGTCTGAAATCCTCCTTCTAGCCTCTTAACAGGCCCATTCATTTGGGTCTTGACTGCATCCTCAGTCTTGTCTTTGCCTGAGGGTGAGCTAGGACCCTGGGAGCATAAGGGAGGGGACTTGCCGGAGATCCTAGAAGGGAAAGGAGGCAGCACTGAAAGAAGAAACATTTCCTTGATTGATCATTTGCTGATACTGGCCCCTGGTTGGGGTTAGGGGTAGAAATGTGCTTCTTCCGTTTTCATCTTCTTCAAAAGGGAGTATCTCCATGATTCTGCCCCAAAGGCATGACATTTTATAGGCAAAGCCAGCCAAGTGTCTTGAGTGCTCTTAACCAAAAGGAATTCAGATTAGGAGGTCAGTCAGTGTTTGTCAGATCCTTAAGCTTTTGTTTTACTGGAATGAGTCACAGTCTACATGCTGCTGAGCTCTCAGAGATGTTTGTTTTATACAACAACCAGAACAGGTGAGGCACAGTGGTCTGTGAGGGACTGGAGAGACCACACCTTGTTCTGCTCTGCGGAAGCTGGACATGTGGAGGAGGCACCTGACTAGATCTCTGCCTCCTGGAGTTTAGGCTGAGTCATATAGAACCAGGAAGCTCAGTGACATGTTAAAGTGGATTAACTCTTGGCAGTCCTGCTGTGAGGGGCTCCCTCTGCCAATACACACAGCCATTAATGTCCTTTAACTGTGCAAGATGAACATATCTCTGTGTTCTGCATCTCCAGATGACAGTGCTTAGGCCTCATGCAGAGTCCTGGTTATGGTTGAAGAAAAATTTCCATTTTGGGCTCTGAGGGCAACTAAAGGACTGTGGAGTGGTGCTGAAACCCAGTTTTAGGTGCCGAATCAGAGGTTTTTAAATACATTTCTCTCTTTTGTCTCAGTCTCTTAGAGACAGGACCTGTATTTTAAAGGTAAACAGGCAGATTCTGGCTGAGCTCAATTGCAGATTTGATTAACTTAGATAGATCAAAGTCATTAGTCTCAGAGAAAAAATTTGTTTCTCATCCCTAAAGTGCTATTGTGTCAGCTCTGCCAGGGTGTAAGGAAAAGGGTTTGGAAGAGAGAAGAAAATTTCTTACCCTCTCTCGTCACTGCCTGCTGTAAATTTGCAGTATCATTATCTTGGTCTCCTAAGCCCTGAGAGCTGCATTATATATAATTGCCCATATGTGATACCATTTACTGAATTCTTGCATTGTGCTAAGGATCAAGCTTAGTACTTTACATGCATTACATCATTGTCTTTAGGGACCCCAAAAGTGCCTCATTGGAGAGTTGTTTGGTCTGCTAAAGAGTGGGTACCACTTTCACTTCTCACATCAGTCCTTTCATTCATTCATCCAGCAAGTATTTACTAAACACCTGTTATGGGCCAGGAATTGTGCTAGGCACTGGTGATACATTGGTGAATAAACAGATACATTTTTTGCCTTTGTGAATCTTACAGTGGTAGAGAATAATAGGCCAAGGGGGTGCTGCTTGGCTAGGAATGTCATAGAATGCCTTTCCAAGGAGGTTACATTTAATACAGACTTGAAGAGTGAGGAGTCATGCTAAGAATGGATGAGAGGCTCACGCCTGTAATCCCAGCACTTTGGGAGGCCGAGACGGGCGGATCATGAGGTCAGGAGATCGAGACCATCCTGGCTAACACGGTGAAACCCCGTCTCTACTAAAAATACAAAAATTAGCCGGGCATGGTGGCGCGTGCCTGTAGTCCCAGCTACACAGGAGGCTGAGGCAGGAGAATGGCGTGAACCCGGGAGGCGGAGCTTGCAGTGAGTCGAGATCGCGCCACTGCACTCCAGCCTGGGCGACAGAGCGAAACTCCGTCTCAAAAAAAAAAAAAAAAAAAAAAAAAAAAAAGAATGGATGAGAAATCATTCAAGACAAAAGCAAACCAGATGTGTAAAGATCCTGAGGCAAAAACAACTCCAAGGAGCCAGGTATGGTGGCCTGTAGTCCCAGCCACTTGGGAGGCTGAGACAGGAGGGTCGATTGAGTCCAGGAGTTTGAGGTTACATCAAGCAATGATTGCACCACTGCACTTCAGCCTGGTTGACAGAGTGAGAACCTATCTCTAACAAACAACAATAAAAAAACAATTCCAAAGAGTGTTTGAGGATCTGAAAGAAGGCCTGTATGGTTGGAGTATAATAGTAAGAGGGAGATTTGTAGATGAGAGTGGAGAAGAAATAAAAATCAGATTATTGAAGGGACTTATGTATCATGGTAAGGAGTTTTTTTTTTTTTTCTCAAGGCAGTAGAAAGCTTAAGCAGAGGAGTGATATAATCTGATTTATATTTTTAAAAGAGTTTGCTATATGTATGTTATGCCTCATTTTTTTTTAAATTTTTTATTTTTAGATGGAGTCTTGCTCTGTTGCCCAGGCTGGACTGCAGTGGCACGATCTCAGCTCACTGCAAGCTCCACTTCCCGGGTTCATGCCATTCTCCTGCCTCAGCCTCCTGAGTAGCTGGGACTATAGGCGCCCACCACCACGCCCGGCTAAGTTTTTTCTATTTTTTAGTAGAGACGCGGTTTCACTGTGTTAGCCAGGATGGTCTCAATCTCCTGACCTCGAGATCTGCCTGTCTCGGCCTCCCAAAGTGCTGGGATTACATGTGTGAGCCACCGCGCCTGGCTGTTATACATCAGTTTTTAAAGAGAGACATTAAGAAATAAAGATGACTCTGGCTACTGTGTGGAGGGTTGGAGAGAAGCAAAAGTGGAAGCAGACTGAATAAGGAGACTATTGCTGCAATTCATATAAGAGATGATGGTGTCCTGAAAGAGTGGTGGCAGTGAAAATTGGGAGAAGAGGACAGAGTCAAGATATATTTAGGAGGCAGAAATGACAGGTCTTGATGATGTATTATAAATGGAGAATGAAGAATAGAATAGAGAAAAATGAATAATTAGCTTTGAACTTTCTGGCTTGAGAAATGGGGTAAATGGGGTGTAATTTACTGAAACTGGAAAGATTTAGAAAGGAATAGATTCGAGGAATCAAGAGTTTGATTTCAGATTTCTTCAGTTTGGGATGCCCATGAGATTTCCAACTGGGGATACCAGATAGGCAGTTATACATGAGATTGGAGCACAGAGAGATGTGGGCTTAAAATATAAGTCTGCATCTCATCAGCTTATTCATATGGTATTTATATCTATGGATATGGCTGAGATCCCAAAAGGAGAGAGTGAAGAGAAAATAGAGAAGAGAGTCTAGGGCCAAACCCAAGGAAGCTTCAACACACAGATGAGGAGACTGACAAAGGAAACTGTCAAAGAACAGTCAGAGAGAAAGGTCAGGAGAATGTTTTGATGGTGGGGGCCAGAATATGCTGTCCCAAAATAAGAAGGATTGTTGAGCTGAAGGCAAGTTAAAAGAAGCAGATACAGGCTGGGTGCAGTGGGCTCATGCCTGTAATCTTAGCATTTTGGGAGGCTAAAGTGGACAGATTGCCTGAGCTCAGGAGTTCGAGACCAGCCTGGGCAACATGATGGAACACCATCTCTACTAAAATACAAAAAAAAAAAAAAAAAAAAAAATTAGCCAGGCATGGTGGCATGTGCCTGTAGTCCCAGCTACTCAGGAGGCTGAGGCACGAGAATTACTTGGACCTAGGAGGCAGAGACTGCAGTGAGCTGATATCTCGCCACTGCACTCCAGCTTGGGCAACAGAGCAAGGCTCTATCTCAAATTTAAAAAATAATAATCATGATAATAATAAAAGAAGCAGATATAGGAGAGGTCTTCTGCCCTCCCTGTATTTGCCTAAAAAACCATAAATTTACAAAGACAAAAGTTATCCTACTTCCACCTCCCTCCTCTGCCTCCCACCACCAGGGAGAACAAAGGTTAACCACTGAAGATAACTTTGGACTCTTATTGGCCTGGAAATGGTACTGCTTTACAAATTAGCCTTTATCTGCCATTCATTTGCCTTCCCCCAAGTAGCTACCCATTAGAGACTCAAAGTCCTTAAAGGTCTTTTCCTTTGTCTTACACTTCTTTAAAAATTTATTGTTCTTTGTTGAAGATGCTATATAAGCTGGAATTCTAAGCCACCTTTTTGAGAACTGCTCATTCTCTGGGTGTCTGTCATGTATATATGAAATGTACATGTTAATAAACTTCTGTTTCCTTTTTTTTCTTGTTAATCTGCCTTTTGTAACAGGGGTCCAGTCCATCTAAGAACTTATTGGGGTTATTCTACATGACAAAGAACTCATGAGAATAAGTGTTTCAAGAAGGGGATGACAAATGCTGCTGAGAGGTTTGATAAGATGAGGACTAAAATGTGACCATTGATTGTGGAAGTAATATAATGAACTTGACATGAGTTATGTTAGAAAATTACTGCTCAGGGACACCAAATTAGAGGAGACTGAGAAGTAATAGGAAATTGAAATAGCAGTTGTACCCAACCCTAAACTGTAATTGAACATAAACAGTTTATTTGATGGAGCTTTTCACGTGTCAACCAAAGGAGCAGTGTTAGATACATAAACATTGCTATGATGTCAGAGTTCCAATGTCATGGCCACTGGGATCACTTTGCCCAGACAGACCATTACCCTTCCTCTCCAGCTCTGACTTCTACTCTTCTAGAAGTCACTGGTATACTTTATGGTGTGTCTTCCAATCAGACTCTTGGGAATGTCTTTTATTGAAAACTCCTGTGGATGCATAATCATTTTCCCAAGACTCAGGGCAGATTTCACCTCCTCTGGAACCCCATTAACTTTCTCAAGTATAATTAACAATTTCTTCTTCTGGAGTCCCACAATACTTTACATATACTTTAGTTATTGCATGTATTAAGTTGGTTTCTAGTTGCTTGAGTGTATGTCCAACTAGACTGTGAGCACACTGAGGGAAGGAATTTGGCTTGGAAAGTAAAATTGGCTCCCAGTGTTTTATCTAAACAAATAGGCTCAATTTACAACAGGATTCCATCCTCTTACGCTGTGTATTCCCATCTCTTCCATGCTGCATCCCACCACCCTTCAATGTTATTACAATAAAATTAAGATCAAATAATTTATTCAGCTAATTTTTCTTGTTTTGGACAAAATAGACATCCTAATACATTTATAGCCAAAGTTTAATCTAGACACTAAAAGGAGCATATTTTGCCTTTAGGCTCTGTATTTCCCATCCCGTTCCCAGTCAAGATAATCACAACTGTATTCTTTAGGAAATTCTTCACAAAGAACCAAACATATGTTACTATGAAACTAGATTCTTGGTATCCTGGTGAAAAAACCTGCCCTCTTGCTTGTCTGTAAATACTGGCCTTGGCTGGGTGTGGTAGCTCATGTCTATGATTCCAACACTTTGGGAGGCCAAGGTGGGAGGATCTCTTGAGCTTCAGTGTTTGAGACCAGCCTGGGCAACATAGTGAGATCCCATTTCTATAAAATTTTTTTTAAAAAGCTAGCCTGGCATGGGAGCTTGTGCCTGTAGTTCCAGCTACTTGGGAGGCTAAGATGGGAGGATTGATTGAGCACAGGAGGTCGAGGCTGCAGTGACTGCATTTCAGCCTGGGTGACAGAGGGAAATCCTGTCTCAAAAAAATTAAACAAATAAATAAATAAGTAAACACTTGCCTTGCCCTCAGACTTGAACAAACAACTCGTGATTTTTCTGGGGAGGTTCAGCCTGCCTATGCAGTACTCCTGTACTCTACCAGCAGTGTGGCATCAAGAGCATGTGTTGACCCTGTTAATGATTTGTAATGTTTTGTCTTTCAGAACCAGAGGCAGGAGAAGTGTCCCCTCCAGTCGGTGCGGGTGTCAACAGCAACAGCTGGACCTTTAAATACGGACCAGGCAACCCCAAACAATCCGGTCCCGGTGAGTTGCCCGACAAATTCATTATCCCAGGATCTCCTGCAATCATCTCCATCCGGCAGGAGCCTACTAACAGCCAAATTGACAAAAGTGACTTCATAACCTTCGGCAAAAAGGAGGAGACCAAGAAAAAGAAGAAAAAGAAGAAGGGTAACAAGACCCAGGAGAAAAAAGAGAAAGGGAACAGCACGACTGACAACAGTGACCAGTGAGGTCCTCAAATGGAAACAAGCCACTTAGCCAGTTTTTGTAATAATGGCAAATCTCTCCCATGTAGCAATTCCCTGCTCCTTTTTCCTATCTACATGAGCCCTCTTAGAGACCTCAGAAATCTGCAGAAAGTTCCCTGTGTCTGTCTAGAACGCATTTAACAGGTTTTGTCGTAAAAGCTTTACTAAGTCTGGTGTTAACTCTTTCTCTCCACTCTGGCTTGTTTTCAGAACCTAAAAAGCAGACCCAAGTTTCCTTTCTCCTCCGCCGCAAAGGAGAGGCTTCCCAGCCCCGCCAGTGAGAGGTTGGACTCTCTGCCCTGTGCTCCGGGGATCCTGTCTTGATGACACTTGCAGGGCAGGCTGAAAAGTTTTGAGATTGAGCAGCTTGGGAGTTTGTGGCCACTGGGTATGTGTGGCTACCGCGGGTATGCGAGTGCCAGATATTGGCTGAGACGAGCCAGCTTAGACTAATTGGTACAAGGAAGGCAAGAAAACAAAGACAAATAAACAGCGGAAGTTATCAGTATGGAGGGGAAGTGTAAACTTAAAGGGACCAGACTTTCTAAATCTTACAACTCAAGAGGTGGCAGCCACCCTCTAGGAGACAAAACTACCCCCACTGACAAGGCTTTAGGAGACCCTAAAGTCTGTTGGCTGTGACGTCATTATACCTAAAATCTGCATCATACCTGCAAGCCAACAGTTCAGTGTTTTAACAGAGAACCACCCTGGGAAACAGAAGCAGATCTGATGTGTTTCCTATACATGTCCTGTGCTCACTTTATTAAAAATTCTTTTGCACACAATGTTTATGAAAAGGCCAGATCCTTTTCCAATACTTATGCAAAAGCAAAAGAAAACCCCGACACCTCACCTTTCGCTGTTTGTTGTTTCATAGATTTATTTAAAAAAAGAGAAAGTCTATAGCTATAAATCTTTAAAGAGAAATATGAATACAATTCCCCTAAACTCTCCTCAAAAGAGAATTCAGTCTACAGCCATTTAAATGATCATTGCTGCTACAGAAGTGCTTTAAGAGAATTGCCTGAAACATCTGTATTATATCGGCCACCTGCCAATCACAGCTTTACTCTTTCAGGTCACTCTGGGGCTGCCTCTTGCATGTATTACTAAATAAAATGATCTCTCTTTCTCTCTCTCTCTCTCTTTTCTAAGAAACAATTATGTGCACTTTGATACACAACCTTCTCTAACCAACTATATATCAAGACCCAAAAATTGAAGAAAAATATTGTTTTCTCATACAGTGAGCAGATTTTTCAATCTACTAATTCTGTGACTTGTCTTGGTGTGCTAGCCTACACCTTCTCTTTGGTTTAGTTTTCCTTTTCTATAACACTCTGAATTGCTAATCTTACTAACACCTATGATGTTACCTGAAATCAATCTCCCATATGTATGCTGTATGCTATGCTAAGACTCCTGAAATATACTTACTCTGTGCTTGTGTATGTGAATGTTAATGCAACTATTACCTAGAGTGAACTTTAAGCTTTATTGTTGAATGTAATTCCATTATATTTCCTTTTGTACACCTGTGAAAAAGTGGAGTAGTGTTTTTTTAACCATTGTTAATCAGCTTTTGTGTATGAAAGACACAGTAAAATTTCTTTCTTAAATCAAGATACTGGTGATTCAAGGAATTTTATTTATGGTCCAGCCAAGAGCCATCTCGTGCCAAGACTTCTGCTGGCAAGGGAATGGATAAAGCTGTTTTGTTCTAGTAACAATTTTGGAATGAATACTGACAATATTCCATGAGGGTGTGCAAGCACAAATTTTACCAATCTGACCTCTTTGAAGTTGCAGAATGCTTTGAAATTCTAATGGTATCTGAAATATCAGCTCATAGAAAGTAACAAAATTTGCTGTCACCTTAAATAAGACATTTTAATTTTGTTATAATGTACAATTTAGAAGTTTGATTAATTATATTATCTATTTAGGCATTAATATAAAAGAGGTAGGAGTCTGTTATTTAAAAAAAGCATTAAATTTAAAAAAAAACTGTCTTGTCTACTTTTAGCTTCATTCTCCCATATTTTGAAGGGTGTGTAACTTCAGCTCTGCAGGATTGCATGGGGTAAAACTTGTTACCAACACATGTGAACCATTGCTACATTGTAGGTTGTGATCATTTTGCCCCACTGAAGCCCATGTATCTGACCTTACGTGCCTTTTGAACTAGGAGAATCGGGCTAATTTATTAATGATGATAATTATAATGTATCTGTACAGCACTTTTTACATTTGCGAAGTGCTTTCCAATCCATGTTAGTTACTAGTTATTACAGCTGTAAGGATAAAACACGTCATGTGGATTCATTTTGAATTGGTGCTATTGGTATTTCCTCTGTTATTGCTAATAAATGAAAATGGTGGTATGAAAGAAATGGTGGTCATTTCTAAGAATAGGAGGAAATAGAACACTGATAAGCAATTAATACTGAAGAAGATTGCTGCAGTATGAAACTCACTGTAACACTCTCTTATCACGTTAGCTTTTATGTCCATTACTAAGGCAAAAGCCCCAGTGGAATCAAGATTCAAACTTCATATCATTAGAATGGGCAGCCAGGAGGTTGCTGCGTCACTTTGTAGTTACACTATTTCAGTTTTCTCTAATAAGAATTGCAACAAACCCATTTTTATCACAAGAGCCCTTCTAGGCATCTTTTTCATTACTTGTTTAGCCCTTGCACCTCTCTACAATTGGAAAGCCAAGTGACACCCCAAAGAAATGAACTTTTAGGTCAGGGATAGTGGCTCTTGCCTGTAATCTCAGAACTTTGGAAGGCCAAGGCCAGAGGATGGCTTGAGGCCAGGAGTTCAAGATCAGCCTGGGCAGCATAGCGAGATCCCATCTGTACAAAAAGAAATAACTTTTATTGAGTACAGGGTGTATGCCAGCCACACTACTGCATAGGTTCAGCTGTGACAAATAGATTGTTTTGTCCTTTTGTAGTTAAATTTGTATAAATATAAGCTTTAGATGCTGTAGGTTCTCAGTTAGGAGCAATTTTGCCCTCCTGGGGACATTTGGCAACGTCTGAAGTCATTGTTGCTTTTCATTACTTGAAGTGGAGGGTGCTATTGGCATCTACTGGGTAGGGGGCAACGATGCTGTGAAACACCTGGCAATGCACAGGACAGCCCCCTATAACAAAGGATCTTACAGCCCAACATGTCAATGTCTCAAATCAAGATTGAGAAACCTTGAGATAGAGTGACCATATAATTTGTGTAGTCCACTTTTGAAATGGAACAGGAGACACCATTCGTTATTACTTCAGGATTCAAGATGTAAACTGGGACTGTCCCAGGCTAACTGGGATTTATAGGGACTCTATAAATAAACTGGTATAGCTGTGCCACTAACTAGATGGGGAATTTGAGGCAAACCACTACTTCTCTCAGTTTTTCAGTCATCTCTAAACTGGTCATAATTATAATACAGACCTTATAGATTTGTGAGGTAATCTTAAAAGGTTTTAGCAGGTCTGGCACACCATAGTACTCAATAAATATTATTATTTATTAATCCTTTTCTTCCATTTCCTTACCCCCTTTTCAGAGATTTAGCTATTAGACCCAGGGAACTTTTCCTACTGACTAAAATGTGAATGAGGGATGGCCAAAAAAATCAACATAGTCTTGGCAATAAAAATATTTTATTTACTCCTCCGCTCTTTTGCTCACCCCAGGAGGAAAAGAAATAAAGTCAGTTTCATAACTCCTTACCTATTTCTATCATAATAATAATCAAATCCCTAAGTAGTCAAGTGGCCAGTCTGTTTGCAGCTATTTCACCTCAATTATTGGTGATCTGAAAGCCAGAAACCAAAGGGTTTGAAGTACAACAGCTTGAGAGAGAAAGAGAAGAGTCACCTCCAACAACTTCTTTCGGCAGATGAGCAAAACAGAAATGCCAAATTACCCACAGACTTGCCTGGGATTTCACAGGCAATAAAGGACAAGACAGGTGCATCTCTCTCAAGGGTCAGGCTACTTGATATAAGTCTCACATATACAGAGTGCAGGATTCATTCTTTAGAAATATTGCAATTGATCTAATTTTAAAGGATGAGATTCTCCAATGAGTGTCTAGAGCCTTGGCTTTGAATTTTAGGCTCCTAGGTAAGATTGTAAGTGCCAGGATCTCATGTTAATGTATTTTACGTTTAAATTATAAACATTATGTTTGTTATAAACCCCAATCTAAAGTACAAATGTAACTGACCAAACACTAATGCAATTTTACTGTTAAATCTAGATTTAAAAACCATGCAAACATTAAGAGATACAATAAAACAAGTAAACAAACAAAACTACAGATACAGTTCCTCAAGACTTTCAGTCCCTGGAGCTTTTCCAGGAAATGGAAATGGAAATAAGTTGGCCACTCTTTGACCTATTTCATCATATTTTCATGTGCTTCCTTTCCTTGTAGAAAAAGCTGATTATGTTATTTCCCTCAAAATTACCTTGACTGTTGGCTGGCAGGACACAACTTGCAACCTGAGAAATTTCTTCTGGCTTTATGCACACACACACACACACGCGCACACACACACGCGTGCGCACAGTCATACGTGCACACACGCGTGCACACACATGCACACGCACACATGCTGACACACATGCACATGCACAGAGGTTCTTACTGTAACTAGGAGGGGGCTTTAGCAAATGAGCATGGTGCTGTCCTCCTTTTGAAACTGTGCCTAAGAGTGGTACATAGCAACCTTTTTGTTATAATCAGTCAGGTAAAATGTTTGCTGGGTCCCATTTTCTCTTGGGGTTGATCCATTGGGAAATGCCTGCTGACGTATGAAATCTTAAAAGTTTTTTGCCTAATAAAGTCTATCACCTTGTCTTTGAACTTAAGCTCCTCTGAGCTGGACACTAGTAAATTTACTTTCATAATATGAGTCTAGTTTGCATAAAGAAATAAGAAAGAGTAGGTAGTGAAAAACATAAAGTCCAGCATTTTGTTAGGTTACACAATTGTCGGGTGACTTGGGGATCATCAATCCACAAAGAACATGAGCAAGTCAGACAACCACTCAGCCAGTAGCTGGTCTTAGAGCAGAGCTAAAACAATTGGCACCCGAAGCATAAATATATGGGAGACTGACACAACAGTTCTCGTTTTAGAGTTTGCTTTCACTAGACTTACTTTATTTAGTTTTATGTGAAATTGAATTTTTATTATAAAAGGTAATACGTGTTCTTTAAAATAAATCAAATAAACCAGAGATATATAAAGAAAAATTATTAATCTCACCATCTTCTTTCAATTCTCTCTTACATGGGTATCCAATTTTAACAATTTCAAATGTGTTTCTCTGCATTTTTCTCTATACACACACATTTATATCACATACACATAGTTTTAAAAATAATTGTTTTCCTTTTTTTTCTTTGAGACAGGATCTCACTCTGTTGCCTAGGCTAGAGTGCAGTGGTGCGATCTCAGCTCACTGCAACCTCTGCCTCCCGGGTTCAAGCAATTCTCCTGCCTCAGCCTCCCAAGTAGCTGGGACTACAGGCGTGTGCCACCAGGCCCAGATAATTTCTTTTGTATTTTTAGTAGAGACAGGGTTTCACCATGTTGGCCAGGCTGGTCTCGAACTCCTGACCTCAGGTGATCTGCCCGCCTCGGCCTCCCAAAGTGCTAGGATTACAGGCATGAGCCACCGCGCCCAGCCTGTTTTCTTTTTTATATAAAAACAAAATGATGCCATGCTTGTTGCCCTGTAGATTTTTCTTTTAATTTACAATAACATGAAGATTTTTTTCAGTTCAACTCTACATCACTCTTTTTAATGCCTGTATAAATTCCACATAATGGCCAGATCATAATGTCATAAGGCATTTAATTTTTCTAGATTTTTGCTACTCAAAACCAAAAATAGCACTTGTTCACAATTATAAATTTAGCACCTGAGCTTTATAAAACCTGGTCTAGGTGTATTACAAAAAGGACGTTTGGAAGACTATTATGAACTTTATGTGACTCCCTCCACAATAATCACATTCCTTTACTGGAACTCACTCAGTTCTAGTATTCAACGTTGAATTGTGGCTCTATTTGTAGATGAATGGTGAAAAACAGACATTCACAAGAAAAACAGAAAAATGTTAGAAAGATATGTCTTCATTTACTTATCCAGAATAATTTCATGGGAGCTTCATTTCATCCAAAGACTTCTCCATTCAATCACAGATTGAAATGTATGTATGAAAGAAGAAGTCTCAAAGACAATTCAAATACTTGCTTAGACCTGTGATATTTTAATATAATCTGGTTGAACATTGGGTAGAAAGCAGTCTAACTTTTTTCTAGGTTGTTACATGTTACCTGAGGGTAGACATATTAACTTTGTACCAGTGGAGCTTATTTCATTTTAAGAAAAACAAATTGCTTATCAAGTAATGAATCCAAGACAGCCAAAAATCAAGGCAGCCATTCATGTATTTAAAAAATCTCAGTTACAAAACCATCTGGCTATAAACTTCAGGAAACCTTCCTTATGAAATTATTGATACTATTTTATCCCTTAAATCAGCCTTTCAAGACGTAATTCCAGTCTGGGTTCAGTGGCTAATGCCTGTAATCCCAACACTTTTGGAGGCTGAGGCAGGAGGATTGCTTGAGCCCAGGAGTTTGAGATTACAGTGAGCTATAATCAGTCACATCACTGTACTCCAGCCTGGGTTACAGAGCAATACACTGTCTCAAAGAAAAAAAAGAAAGAACTGCATTCCTAAATCAGGTTTATTCCATTCTCTATGGCTAATAGAATTCATCAGCCAGACACAGCACACATTTCTTCCCAACTGCTGTAGCTTTCCAGATCACCTTCCTCTTGGTCCTCCTCAAGCCTATGATCAATTTTTCAGAAATCTTGGAGTCTGGAAGTCCTAGCCTTCCTTTCACACTTTTCACAGTAGTATGCTAGCTTAGAGCCCAACCAGATATCTGGTAAGTCGGTTCTAGGACATAGGTGGGTGGTCCATATACTTGGGATCAGTAGCTGGGATAGGCAGTGCTAGATTTTTCCTGGGGATGCTTATAGGATGGGGAGGAAGCCTTGTACAGGTTAAACAAATAAAATTAGGATCATTCAGGTACTTTCTTTGCATAGATTTGGAATGATAGGGCCAAGGGGCTATGGAATGAGACCATTTTTGCTGACAGAGATGTGCATTTTAAAATAGATTCTTGGGTTGTGAGTTAAAGAAACCAACACCATCTAGTTTAAGCTAAAAAGGATGATTTATTATAAGGACACAAATTTGTTTCATTGAAACTAAGAATGGGAGTAAGTTTAGGCCTCTGGAACCAGTAACTTGGAAGCCAGAAAAATTCCTTTTTAAATTTATCTTCTCTAATTATCTCTCTTAATCTGTTTCATTCTTCCTGTCTCTACAGATCAGCTCCCTCTCCTTCTCTTTGCCACAGCTTCTAAATTTATACACACTAGGTTCTAGTGGCCCATAAAAACCTACGTTCTGTTTCTTTTTTCTCTTCTTTTTTTTTTTTTTTTTTTTTTTTTGAGACGGAGTCTCGCTCTCACCCAGGCTGGAGTGCAATGGCGCAATCTCAGCTCACTGCAAACTCCTCCTCTCGGATTCAAGTGATTCTCCTGCCTCAGCCTCCCGAGTAGCTGGGACTACAGGCGCTCACCACCACACCTGGCTAATTTTTGTATTTTTAGTAGAGACGGAGTTTCACCATATTGGCCAGGCTGGTCTCAAACACCTGACCTTGTGATCCGCCCACCTTGGCCTCCCAAAGTGCTGGGATTACAGGCGTGAGCCGCCGCACCCGGCCACATACTTTCTGTTTCTAATTCCTAGTTCTAACTTCTTCCTGGAAAGAAAAACTAATTGGATCACCTTGAGTCAGGTAGCCCATCAGCCATGGGCCAGAGGACTGTGGGTAGGAAGGAGAATTCTCAGAAAAAAGGAGATCGGATACTTAGAGACAACTTTAATAGCTTGCTGATAGCTGATATTCCCCAGATACTGTTAGTATATTAAACATCAGTGTATAGAATCTTAGAAACTTAGGGCCCCAAGGAAACTTATTTAACAAATGAGAAAATTGAGGCTCACAGAAAGGGGAATGACTCATTCAATGTTACACAGCTAGTCAATGACAAGGCAGCTATTCTCCTGTTACCACTCTACTGCACAGCTAGAGGCCACCAGGAGTGAATGACAATACTCATTTCATTATATGTTTGAGAGCCAAAAGTAGTACAATTTAGGGAGGTCATGTTAATTTTATATAGAGAGTAGTATTTCATTGTTATATATGTTTTATTAATCTTTTTATTCAAGATGAAATATCAATATTGATTTCCCTTTATTGATTCTAAAAGTAAAACAAGCTTTTATTTTTTTAAAAAATAAAATATACAGATGTCCAGAATTTGGAAAGTAGCAAGTGAAGTATCTCCTGAGAGGCACCATTAAGAGTTTGGCATCTATTTCTCCATTCCTTTTTTCATGCATTTGTAACTGGGTGCTTGAAAGGACTCAATAAATAGCAGCCTTCTCTCTTGTCCAGGGTACTGAATTAATTGATAAATAAGACAAAAGAATGGCATCATAAGGCAAAAATATTCCTTTTATTAATAATAAAGATGTTAGAGAATGTAGATTAGTGTGAGTGCCAAATGGGACTGCTAGATGAACCCCAGAATTAGTCAAATTTTTAATCCCAGTGTCTGGCAAGAAAGACAGTGTTGAACAGAAAAGAACTATTATTCCCAGCAGAAAGCTTAACTCCAGGAGGAAAAGAGGCAGTGCTGAGCCAAGTATTAACCATTTATTCTTACCCAAGTTGCCAATCAAATACGTCCCTAAAACCTCCTGAAGCAGAGTGAATAAAGGGGTATGGAAAAGTTAAGAGTGTGACTCCAAGTTCCCTTTGCGTACAAGAGAGCATCAAGAGGGAGAAGATGCATTTTTCTGTAAATATGTATATAGTTTTTAAAGGATCATACTGGTCTTAGTTTCTGTAACTTGCTTTTTTTCCACATAAATATAAATCCTTTTAATTATTTATATTAGTATTTCATGATATAGCTATAGTATAATTTATTTAACTAGTTCTCCATTAATAGACAATAAAGGTTTTTTCAAATTTTTACTACCATGAATAGTCTTTTACCACATTTGGCATGTAAGTCCAGTTATTACCTCAGGATAATTTTCAAAAAGTAGAATTACTAAGTATCAAATATATACATTAAACTTCTTATATATATATTTCAAAATTGGCCTCTGGTAATGCAGTATACTCTTGCCAAAAGTTTATGAGAATTTCTTCTACACCTTGCCCAACACTGGATCTTAAGAGTCTTTCTCATCTTTGAAAACATGATAATCAAAGGATTATGATTTAATTTGCATTTCTTTACCATAAAAATGCACCTTTTTTCCATCTCTTCCATCAAAAGATTATGATTTGACTGATCTGACTTATGGTGTCAACTATTTACCAGAATACAAGGTGCCTTTAAGTATCTGAGTAGCAAATTTGGCTTTAAAACAGTGTGAAAAATTGAGTGTTATTTGGCCCAGTGGATATATTAGATATATTACAATGTGTGATCTCAGAATCAATGTTCAGTCCATATATTCATGCAATGGATAATTACTGTAATAAATGCAGACTTGACATTTCAGTAGAAGGAACATAGTGCATTAGGCCTGTGTCCCAGAGGGCTTGTTGGATCAGGAGCTTAGAAACTATCAAATACAGTAGGCCAAATGCCTTGGCTCTAGAGCTCCCCCCTTCAGTCCTCATAATGGCCAAATAGAAGGGTGCAAGATTTTGCCATCCATACTTTTTGGAAAAGGAGCCAACATATCATTGTTTTTAGTTTCCTGGGTACCTTAATAGAAGTATGATTAACTCCCCATATAGCAGACCTCAAGCCTGCTTTACGGAGTCTTAGATCTATTGAAAGATTTGGTAATGCATGTTAATAATACCAACAAAGTAAATTTTGACACTAATGTCTAACTGTATACAGAAAAGATAATTGAGTTGAAATAATTAGTATCTATAAAGAGCTTAGATCAGGGTCAGGCTCAGGGGAAGCACTAAATAAATATAAGCCATTTTTTAAAAGTTGACAATATGGCACCTGAGCCCATTTTGAGTGATTGAGGATCATTTTCTGTTTCTTTCTCTTTCTTCTCTTTCCTTCTCCTCCCAGTTCCCCAATTCATCCTCTTTCCTATACTCTTTCTCTTCCCCATTGATTCTTTCTACCCACCTCACCATTTTTTTCTCTCTTTATGATTCTTTTTCTTTACCTTCTTCCCATACTATCCTTATTAAATGTCTTTGTAATCTACTCATCTCCAGTGAGAGTCAGGTTATGGTTGAAATTCTCAATAACAACTAAGAAAATCAACAATTAAAAAAATTAAAATTGACTTAATGTTTAATTAGGTAACAATTTAATTTTTCCAATTCAAGGCATTTCATATGGGCCATATGAAAACACAAGTTTACTCTTTTCTGAGTATATTTGTATGCCTTAAAAGTAAGTTGATAATTTTTTCTCTTCCATTTTTAGAGTTTATACTGGATACTTTCAAAGTTACTTTTATTGTAAGAAAACATATGTTGGCTGGGTGTGGTGGCTCATGCCTGTAATCCCAGCACTTTGGGAGGCCAAGGCAGGTGGATCATCTGAGGTCAGGAGTTCCAGACTAGCCTGGCCAACATGATGAAACCCCTTCTCTAGTAAAAATACAAAAAATTAGCCAGGCATGGTGGTGGGTGCCTGTAATCCACCCACCCATTGAGGCAGGAGAATTGCTAGAACCCGGAAGGCAGAGGTTGCGGTGAGCCGAGATCATGCCATTGACTCCAGCCTGGGCAACAAGAGTGAAACTCAATCTTAAAAAAAAAAAGAGAGAAAAGAAAGAAAGAAAAAACCACGTGCATCTTAGGCTACTGATCAGAGAAAGGAAAAGTGTCTACAGAAACTTGATTGCTTGCAGAAATGACTGTTCCCTTCTAATTAAGAAAATAAAAATCACATAATTTTTATTTCTTTTTCACTTCTTTCCCTCTTTGCTTGTCTATGGAGTCAGTGAGAACACAGAGGGCTAAAAGGAGAAAACTTAGAAATGCAGGTAGGTTGAAGGCAGACAAAAGAGTTTTTACCCATACTATACAAAACCCAAAAATATCAGTTGGATTAAATAAGTAAATATAAATTAAACCATAAAGAACTAGAGTAAAACAAAAGTGCATGTCCATTATGGGGAGAAGGATTTTCTAAGCTTAAAGGCAATAAATTAAAGCACAAATAATGGAATAGATTTGATTACATAAATTTATTTTATATCCCCAAATTAAAAGGCAAAACATTGCCAAAAATATTAACAGAAAGTACAATAAAAGATTATTTGAATTACATAAAGAAATCATACAAATAGATAAGAAAAATACTCAAGCTCCAAGACATATGAACAGATGATTCACCAACCAATTTTTAAATGTTGAGGAAAATGTTCAACTTCATTAGTAATCAGAAGTAGAAACTTGAAACAATTAGATACCATTTGTTACTTATTACATTATTAAGAAGTTTGAAAAATTCCAATTTTTAGTTCTTATAAAGATGTGCAGTAACACTTTCTCTCCACTCCTTTTTCCATTCTTGGGGAGCTCTGATGACTTGATGTTTCTAGCCTTTCTATACCGGATCCCTCTTTTTTCGGGGAAAATATTTACCCGGTAAATGAACTGAAAGGGTACACCGGGCATGCATAAATCATTCCTGTTCTCTTTTCTTCTTCTTGGATCAAACTCTTCACCCGGAGCCCCTGCTCTACTCCTGCTGGTGTGACAGGGAGGCCTGCCCTGGGTTTAATTCTGCAGGTCTGTAGAAGATGCATATTTGCCTGGAGATACAAATATATTTCTAATATGAGATTTATTAGTGATAAATAGGATATTTTGGTCTCCATTTGCCTTCTTCTATGTTTCATACCTCTATTGCTTTAAATATTGGCTTCAAAGAGGAATATTATTTATTAATGACCATCAAAATTCAACACTGTGCCATTGTGTACCCGAAGCGTTAAAGATGTTTAAAGTGTTTTCTCCATTCCTGGAAATTACATTTAGACAAAGCCATATGCACTAATATCTTCATTATATTTTTATTAGTAATGATATAATAATGGTTATGAACCTATGCTCCATGTACTAATGAAGTTGTCCTTAAAAGGCAAAAATCAAAATGTAAAAGAATATACATACTTCAATTATTCAACCAATATTTTTTAGCAACTATTATGAACCAAGTACTTTGCTATATAAAGTAAAATACAAAGAAAAAAGACTGGGCCAGACATAGTGGCTCATGCTTGTTATCCCAGCACTTTGGGAGGCCAAGTCAGGAGGATTGCTTGAGAAGTTTGAGACCAACCTGGGCAACATAGTGAGACCCCATTTCTAAAAAAAATTTTTTTTAATTAGCTGGGCATGGTGGTGTATCCCTGTAGTCTCAGCTACTTGGAAGGTTGAGAAGGGAGGATCCCTTGAGCCCAGGAATTCAAGGTTGTATTGAGCTATGATTGCACAATCCCACTCCAGCCTGGTTGACAGAGTGAGACCCTGTCTGAAGGAAAAAAAAAAAAAAAAGAAGAAGAAAGGAAAAGAAAATAAAGAAAAAAAGACTAGAAGGAAATATATCAAAATTCTTAATGTATATTTTTAAGTAGTGGTACAAAGTCTATATCTTCTTTCTGATTATACGCATCTTTGTGTCTTTTAAAATTAGCATGTATTACTTTATAAAAGGATATACACCTTCAGAATATATAGAAAAACACCAAAAATTCAACAACAAAAAACAGACAGCCCAATTCAAAAATGAAGGTTGGGAGTGATGGCTCATGCCTGCAATCCTGGCACTTTGGGAAGCTGAGGCAGGCAGACGGCTTGAGCTCAGGAGTTCAAGTTCAGCCTGGGGAACATGGCAAAACCTCATCTCTACAAAAAAATACAAAAATTAGCTGGGCATGGTGGTGCACACCTGTAGTCCTAGCTACTCGGGAGGCTGAGGTAGGAGGATGGCTTGAGCCTGGGAGGCAGAGGTTGCAGTGAACCAAGATCATGCCACTGCACTCCAGCCTGGGCTGTAGAGCCAGACTCTGTCTTAAAAAAAAAATGAGAAGGACTTGACTAGACATTTCTCCAAAGAAGATATACAAATGGCCAATAAGCACATGAAAAGATGCTCAACATCACTAATGATCAGGGAAATGCAAATTAAAACTACAATAAGTACCATCTCACACCCAGGATGTGGTTGGCTACCACATATCCTTTTGATGGTAGCCATTTGTTTTGTGGATAGCTACTATCAAAACAAAACAGAAAATAACAAGTGTTAGTGAGGGTATGGAGAAATTGTAACTCTTGTGCACCATTGATGGGAATGTAAAATGATGCAGTCACAGTGGAAAACAATATGACCAATCCTCAAAAAATTAAAAACGAATTACCGTAGGACCCAATAATTCCACTTTTGGGTATATACCAAAAATAATTGAAAGCAAGGTCTTAAAGAGACATCTGTAAACCCATGTTAACAGCAGCATTATTCACAATAGCTTAAATGTAGAAGCAACCCAAGTGTCCATCAATGGATGAATGGAAAAACAAATGTCATACACATACAATGGAATATAATGCAACTTTAGAAAAGGAAGGCAATTCTGGCACGTTCTACAACATGAATGAACCTTGAGGGCATTATGCTAACTGAAATAAGCCGGTCACAGAAAGACAAATACTGTGTGATTCTACTTGTATGAAATATTAAAGAAGTCAAAGTCATAGAGACAAAGAATGGCTGTTGCCAGTAACTGTGGGGAGAAAGGAATAGGGAATTATTGTTTAATGGGTACAGAGTTTTAGTTTCACAAGATGAAAAGAGTTATGGATGAATGGTGGTAATGACTGTACAACATAATACATACCTTTAATACTACTGAACTATACATTTAAAAATGGTTAAGATGGTTAATGTTATGTGTATTTTACTACAATAAAATATTGAAAAAAATTATATGCCAAAATAAATTCAAGAGGAAGTAAAACACATACACCAGGAGACAGAAAGAGAAAGAGAGAGAGAGAGAGAAATAATATAACTATTAAGAGCAAATGTGGTGTAGCAGTTAGGATTAGTTTAGGTTAGCGTATTTTTAAAATATTCAAAATAAAAGTGACTTAAATATGGTAGCAATTATATTCCTCTCATAAAAAGAAGCCTGGACGTAGGGAGTCAGGGCTGTGGAGGTAGCTTTACTGTGACATTAAGGATCTAGGATCATATCTTCTATTCTGCCCCCTTAGCCTGGAACATTGGCAAGGTCTCTCATAGTTCAATATGGCTGCTAGATCCAGCCGTTTCAGGAGCAGGAACAAGAGAAGGAAGTCTTTTAAGGTTTCCCAGAATTCCCACCCCACATTTCTGTTTATTTCTCACTGGCCAAAAGAAGACAACAAAAATTACATGCTCACATGGTCACAACCTGATGCAAGGATGTGACCCATTAGAAATAAGCATTCTGTATCTAAAGAGGGCAGAATATTGGAGTTATAGCCTCTGCAACAAAATGGGTGAATTTTAAAATGTGGCACATATACACCATGGAATACTATGCAGCCATAAAAAATGATGAGTTCATGTCCTTTGTAGGGACATGGATGAAATTGGAAATCATCATTCTCAGTAAACTATCGCAAGGACAAAAAAACAAACACCGCACGTTCTCACTCATAGGTGGGAATTGAACAATGAGAACACATGGACACAAGAAGGGGAACATCACACTCTGGGAACTGTTCTGGGGTGGGGGGACGGGGGAGGGATAGCATTAGGAGATATACCTAATGCTAAATGACGAGTTAATGGGTGCAGCACACCAGCATGGCACATGTATACATATGTAACTAACCTGCACATTGTGCACATGTACCCTAAAACTTAAAGTATAATAATAATAAAAAATAAATTTAAAAAAAGGTTAATTTACCGAAAAAAAAAATCTCAAAGTGGGGAAAGATTTTATAAGAATAACAGAATACTAAGAAGTTATAGAAGAGAAAATATTTATTTTGCATATATAATTTTAAAAATTGCATTAAAAAATCACCATGAACTAAGTCAAAAGACAAAATATATTGTTATTTATATCATAGAAGAGGACTAATTTCTATACATATAAGTAATTCCTACAAATTAATAAGAAAAAGCACAAAGAAATATAAAATAACAGCAAATGGCCAAAAAGAAGTAAATGCTCAAAAGGGTTAAATAAGATAAATCAAAATATATTATATATTATAAATATTTATTACATACCTATCTAATATATTATGTTTATATTAGAAATCTTTATTAGAAATATAAAAATAAAACACGTTTGACAGTCCTTTAGAAACTAACAGTCTAAAAATGAATTCAACTGCCTAGAAATGGGAAAAGTATACTTTAAAGAAACAAAAAACAAAATTTCCTGTGTGCGGTGGCTCATGCCTATAATCCCAGCACTTTGAGAGGCCAAGGCGGGTGGATCAATTGAGGCCAGGAGTTCAGGACCAGCCTGGGAAACATGGGAAAAACCCTCTCTACTGAAAATACATAAATTAGCTGGGCGTGGTGGCCTGCACCTGTAATCCCAGCTACTCGGGAGGCTGAGGCACAAGAATCGTGTGAACCTGGGAGGCAGAGGTTGCAGTAAGCCAAGATCGCGCCACTGCACTCCAGCCTGAGTGAGAGAGTAAGACCCTGTCTCAAAAAAAAGAAAAATTATTTGGAAAACATTAAATAAACCCAGTCCAGTTTATAAGACCTATATACACTAGAGCAGTGGTTATTAGTCCTGGCTAAACCTAGAATTACAGATACAGTTGCCAGATTTAACAAACGAAAACATAAGATGTCCAGTTAAATTTAAATTTCAAATAAATAGCAAATAACTTTTTAGTTTAAGTATGTCTCATGCAATATCTCCTATACAATATTTGGGACATACTTATATGAAAATATTATTTGTTTTCTCTAAAATTTACATCTAACTGATGTTTTACACTTTATCTGACAATGCCTGGGCTCTACTACAAGCCAAATAAATCAGAATCTCTGGGGTTGTGGCCTGGGCATTGTTTTGAAAAACTCCCCAGGTTAGAATCACTCGATGCATAGCTAGGATTGAGAACCACTGCTCTAGAAAATGATAATTTTAGATGATTAATTAGGGTAAATTGGCATCAGGAGAATTGACTTTAGGTGAATTGGTATCAAGGTGAACTAAATTCCTGTCATCATCTTAGCATGTTATTTAACAAAAGCTTGTTCATCCCTCTAGGTCCATATATCATGTCCTTCTAGGAACCTAATCCATTTTGTAATCATTACTTACAAGGTCCCACTTTGAATTTGGCATCTGCCTCTGGCTGCCTTCTTTGCATAAGTGAGGTCTCTTCTGAGAGCAGTTTGCTTGTCTTGCATGTTAGCCAACGCCTGGAATTGAAGATGTGAACATGCTTATCTTGAAGGTTAAAGTTGAAGCGCCCTGGTTTCGAATCAGCAATGACTCGGAAGTCCCTTTTAATGCTTTCAGGCAGTTTTATTTTTCACTTGCATAGATGAGGAAATTGTAGGTAAGAATAATTTGATGAGTTTTAGGTGTTACGGACATAACCAAAGGCAAATTCAAGTATCTTAACCCTTAATAAATTAAGTTGGTTTAAGAAAAGATATTATGGTGAAAGTCTCCAATTTTGGTAAGTGTTGTTTATAAAAACAGGTAGACAAACTTACATCTCCAGACTTCTTTCAAAACAAAATGTCACCTTAGAGCACTTCTTTCTTCTTCTGTGCAGCTAAAGTGCTATCTGTCTCCTCATCAGTTCCAAATGACCAATGTGGCAGAGAAGAATGGGCTGTTATTTGATGCCAAATTGAATCTGCAGAGACTCAGTGAACTAGGACCAGAGAATTATTACAGTGACTCAATATGTGTGTGTCTATTTGTGATTTTTAACATTGATAGTAGCAAGGCTTACTTTTAATTTCCTCTTAAATATTAGGCTGTTTCAAAATGTCCACAGTTACTGATTAGGCCATTGTGTTTCTGATCTTGGTGATAAAAAGTAGCGAATTTTTAAACTTAAAAAAAAAATTCATTTGGGAGGTTCTAACTGAACTTTCCATATTTCAAGAGTACCCATCCTAGCCACAGGAAAACATGAATATTCTTCAGCTCAGAGCTAAATTTTAGTCATGCTTATCGCCCTTTGGTTTTCTCAGGCCACTGCCCCATGTGAGAGCTAGCAGCATCAGCAGCACAACTATCATCCCAATATTCTGATCATCTGAGAAGCAAGGGCTTCAGGAATGGATTTGTTTTCAAAAAGCGTACAAAGCCAGAAACTTGATTCCTCCATTTATGGATAATATCCAGGACAGATGGAAAGAAACACACCAGACAGCAAATGCCCTTGTCTCTGGTCTCCATATCTGCATTGGCACAGGTCAAACACAGTCTCTATGTGGCCCTGGGCTTAAAGGAAAACATCAGTTTTAGCTAAGCGAGAGCCCCAGAATTCAGTATATTTGTGACACGATCCAAATCCTTCACCCCCAACTTATAGCCTTACCATCACTATGTGACCATCAACATTAAGGTCGTGGTTTATGCCAGTTTCCAAAAGTTCAGAACTCCCCGACCATCTCCTTTCACTCAGAGAGTAAATCCCATGTTGTTCTGTAGATTTTTTTTACGCTATTTCTATCTTTCCTTAACTCCTGAAGCCTTTGTATTATGCCCTGTGGTCAGTCATTAGCAAAATTCCCTATGTTTGCAGCCTCTTTTCTGAAAATTTGCTGTCTTTGTTTAAACCGAACACTGGTTCTCCCTAAGGAGATTATTTCCATTATTCTTCTCAAAATGTAGCTGTGATTTTTCCTTAGCCTTTAATCCCACTGGGCCTAGAAGTAAGAAATTATCTTCCCTGCTCCTTCCAGATCATCCTACCACTTGCCACTTCTGTATCACCCTACCTTGCCCCCCACCTTGCCACTTCCAGATCTCCCTATCTCCCTTCTGCCTAACAACATTCAGCTTAGAATCTCATGCGGTCAAATTTTAACACCCACTACCTCTCCTTGTAGCAGTCATCTCCTGATCCCATGTCACTCACTGTCATTTCTTGATGATTTTACCTGCTGGCTCAATATCTTCTCTAGTACTATTCTAAACATAATACTTGGTGATTTCAATATCCACATAGATGTTTCTTCTAACAGCCTACCTTCTCCATTCCTTGACCTTCTCTCCTTGAATTACCCAGTGCTCTACTGACCTCAGCTACCTACTCCCATCTAAGGTCAAATATCTTTATGTTATCAGTGACTGCAACACTTTCCTAATTTCTAAGTATCAATTTCAAGCATCAAACTTTCTAATTGCCCCCTACAATTTTCCCAGCTTACTCCCTCTAAGACCCGAAAATAATGCCAACCATTCCAATACATAAAATCTATTAGTCCTACCATCTTTTCGTCATCCCTACCACCTTCATGTCCTAATTCTTTTTATCCAGTGAAAAGTCTGGGGTCAATCATTATAATCACTGCATTTTATATACCTTAAAATCCATGATCCTCCCTCACTTTAATATACTTGCTTATAAAAATCCGAAGCTTCATAAATCAAAAACTAGATTTATAAATTCAAAGACTTGTAAACCTAAAACTTTGCCCACATCAGGCTTGTATTCACATATGTTAATGTAGCAGGAGAAAAACATCACAATATTGCTAGCTGTTCTTATTTTATATTTGTGATTACAAATCTCAAGTGGCCCTTAACGTTGTCTGGCAATTATATAGTATTTTCCTAGCCCATTTACTCTCTCGTCTGCATCCATCCTACCTTGACCAATTCCTACATTCTGATGTCTTTCCAACTTTCAGCACTCCTCCCACTCCTCCATCAGTAGAGCATCTAACTTCAAATAAATTTGATAAATGAAGTGATCAGAGGAGCTGCCCATAAGTCTTATCTCATTGACCTACTGACCTGCCTTTGTTCTCTTGTACTGTATGTTATGTTCTGTGACTACTAGATGAACTCCCTGTGTCATGTACTCAAGGACATTGCTTTCTACCACCACTGTATTATCAATTTTCTCTTTCCTACTGGATCTTTCCCATCACCATACAAGCATGTTGTTATTTCTCACATCTTAAAGTAACTATTTATTGACCTCGTTTTTCCTTCCAGCTACTGCACATTTCTCTCTTCTTTATACAAAAAATTCCTTGAAAGTGTTCCCTATACTGACTATCTCCAATTTCTCCTCTAATTTCTGTTTTATAGTTTAAAAATTATTACATTATATTATATTATATTATGTTATATTATATTATATTATATTATATTATATTATATTATATTATATTTTTGAGACAGAGTCTTGCTCTGTTGCCCAGGCTGGAGTGCAGTGGTGTGATCTTGGCTTACTGCAACTTCTACCTCTCGGGTTCAAGTGATTCTTATGCCTCAGCCTCCCAGGTAGCTGGGATTACGGGTGCACGCCACCATGTCCGGCTTATTTTCGTATTTTTAGTAGAGATGAGGTTTCACCATGTTGGCCAAGCTGGTCTTGAACTCCTGGCCTCAAGTGATCCACCTGCCTGAGCCTCCTAAATTGCTGGGATTACAGGGGTGAGCCACTGCAACCGGCCCAAGTTTTAAGATAATTATATTTAAACAATTAGTACTCATAGCTACTTGGCTGTAGGTTCAAATGACTTCATTTGAAACCACTATTCTTCATTTTAGAAATTAGTACTTGGCCTGAAAAGATCATTGCAATGCTCAATTTTATTTATTTTAAAAAGTTCAAACCTATAGAAAAGTCAACAGAATAGTAAAATAAACCTCTATACTCCTTTCATCAAGATTCACCATTTAACATTGGCCACATTTACTTCTCTCTTTCTCTCTCCCTTAACCTTTCCTTCCCTGTCTCCCTTTCTGTCCTTCACTCTCTTCCTTCCTCTCTGTGTAATTTTTGGTGTATCATTTCAAAGTATGTTTTAGACATGACACATCACTGCTAAATAAAGCAGCATACACTTCCTAAGAATACGACATTCTCCTACATAATCATGATGGCATTTTCTTTTTTATTTATGTTTCATTTATTTATTTATTTAAGACAGAGTCTCACTCTGTCGCCCAGGCTGGAGTGCAGTGGCGTGATCTCAGCTCACTGCAACCTCAGCTTCCCAGGTTCAAGTAATTCTCCTGCCTCAGCCTCCCAAGTAGCTGAGATTATAGGCGCCCGCAACCATGCCTGGCTAATTTTTGTAGTTTTTTAGTAGAGAGGGGGTTTCACTATGTTGGCCAGGCTGGTCTTGAACTCCCCACCTCAGATGATCCGCCCGCCTTGGCCTCCCAAAGTGCTGGGATTAGAGGTGTGAGCCACCGTGCCCGGCCTGTATTTGATTTTTTTCTAGATTCTCCATATAAGTGAGATCATGCAGTATTTCTCCTTCTGTGTCTGGCTTATTTCACTTAGTATAATATCCCATAGTTTCATCCATGTTGTTGTAAATGGCAGTGTCTCCTTCTTAGGATGGCTATTATCAAATAGACAAGAGATAGCAAGTGTTGGTAAGAATTTAGAGAAAAAGGGACACTTGTACACTGCTGGTGGGAATATAAATTGGTATAGCCATTAAAGAAAATGGTATGGATATTCCTCAAAAAATTAAAAATAGAACTACCATATGACCCAGCAATTCTTCTCCTGGATGTATACCTAAAGAAAATAAAATCATAACCTCATAGAGATATCTGCACTCCCATGTTCATTGCAGCATTACTCACAGAGCCAAAGTATGGAAACAACTCAATTGTCCATTGGCTGATGAACAAACAAAGAAATGGTGATACAAATATATGCCATGGGATATTATTCAGCCTTAAAAAGGAGATACTGCCTGAAGTGTAATTTTTAGAATTGCTTTAGT
Organism: Homo sapiens; assembly: GCF_000001405.40. Taxonomy (NCBI): domain Eukaryota; kingdom Metazoa; phylum Chordata; class Mammalia; order Primates; family Hominidae; genus Homo; species Homo sapiens. The sequence continues at coordinate 266,245 of NW_025791778.1, forward strand.
GTATGGTCTGTTGGTGGCAAACTCGTTTTTTGGGGTCTGAAAATGTCTTTATTTCATATTTGCTTTTGAGGTTTTTTTTGAGATGGAGTTTGGCTCTTATTGCCCCGGCTGGAGTGCGATGGCGCGATCTCGGCTCACGGCAATCTCCGCCCACGGGAATCTCCGCCTCCCGGGTTCAGGCGATTTTCCTGCCTCAGCCTCCCAAATAACTGGAATTACAGGCATGCACCACCACGGCCGGCTAATTTTGTATTTTTAGTAGAGACGGGGTTTCTCCATGTTTATGCTAGGCTTTGAATTCTAGATTAACTTTATTTTATATCAGAACATTGACAATATCATTCCATTGTCTTCACGTTCCTCTTTTGCTGCTGAGTTCATTCTCAGTCTGTCACTACTTTATTTACTATTTATTTATTTATTTATTTTTGAGACAAAGTCTCACTCTGTCACCCAGGCTGGAGTTCAGTGGTGCAATCTCTCTGCTCACTGCAACCTTCACCTCCCAGGCTCAAACGATTCTCCTGCCTTAGCCTTCCAAGTAGCTGGGATTACAGGCACTGGCCACCACACCTGGCTAATCTTTGTATTTTTGGTAGAGACAGGGTTTCACCATGTTGGCCAGGCTGGTCTTGAACTCGTGACCTCAAGCGATCCACCCACCTTGGCCTCCCAAAATGTTGGGATTACAGGCATGAGCCACAGCGTCCATCCTATTTTTTAAATTTTTTAAAAAAATTTACCTTTCCTATGGTGCTGAAGTCTGTCACCACTTTAAGAAATCTCTCTTCTATATCTATTTTAAGATAATCTTTCTCATTTTCACTGTCCTGCAATTATACTATGCTATATGTATGTGATTATTTGTTTTTATCTTATATGAGATTCATTTGGTTTCTGAATTTGTGATTTGGTATTATGAAAAATTCTAATTAATTATCTCTTTAAATGTTGCTTCTACTCCTCTTTTATCCTTCAGAGACTGCAATTATACCTATGTTTATCATTTCACTCCATTTTCTATGTCTTTTAAACTCTTTTTATAATCTCTATCTTTTTTCTGTCTTTCCTACAGTCTGCCTGTCTTCTAGTCTATTATTCTTTTTCATTCATGTCTGATTTGTTCTTAAACCTACTAACTGAATTTTAAACTTTTATTTATTACATTTTTGTATTTGTAGTTTTATGTGCTCTTCATCCAAATATGCTTGCTCATTCCTCATGATGTTTTCCCTCTGCTTATTTTCAAACTCATCTTTTATTTCTTTAAATATATTAAATATAATCTTTTTATATTGTATTCAATAATTTCATTATCTGAAGTCACTGTATGCCTGCTTCAGTTGTTTTTATTTCTGCTGGATCTCAATCTAGTATCTTGTGACATTGGTTTTTTTTATGGTAAATCGCTCACTTTCCTTAGAATTCTATATTTAGAAATTATTTGAAGCCTGGGTTAAAGGTGGATTATTCTAGAGATAATTTGTACTTGCTTTGTCCAGGCTCCAGGGGTACTACAAGTTTGAGATCAACATAAAGTTATATTTTCAACTTGAAGTTTTGTTTCTTTTCCCAACTATCCATGTCTAGTGAATACAAGCTTCAAAACTACATGAGAATAAATAATATACCTATGTACCCACAAAAATTAAAAATTAAAAAAATAAGATACAATATTTCAATTAAGGAAAAAAAAAAAACCCTACATGAAAGCCACAAGCGGTTCCAGATCCCTAGTTGTGATCCCTATTCCCCACCATCCTGCCCCTACAGTTAGTCTCAGGAACAGTCAGATTTTTCAGCTAGGGATTTTTGGTAGTCCCTGGGTGGAAGTCATATCTAGTTCACTTAACACTAAGTTATATTCATCTCAGGGTCTCTCCTTTGATGAATCTCCTACTAGACTTCCTACACTAGTTGATTCAAAATCTTTTCACCTGGTCTTTGTGCTCAGGATGCGAAAACTGAAGCTCAATTACTGAACATTGGAGACGAATGGATATGAACCAACTACGGATACATGCAATAAGGTGGATGAATCTCAAAGCATTATGCTAAATGAAAAATGCTAGCTGCAAAAGGTACCTACTGTGTGACTCCATTTAAACAGGGATAGAAATCAGATCAGTTTTATCAGAAGCTGCAGGTGGGGTAAAGGATTAAATACAAAGAGGCATGAAAGAACTTTTCGGGGTAATGAAAATATTCTATATTTTTATTGTGGTGGTAGTTAAATGACTATGTATGTTCGTCAAAACTTGTCAGACTGTACCCTTAAAATAATGAGTTTTATTGCATGGAAATTGTATCTTCATATACTCAAATGTAAATGAAACCAGCTGAATACACACACACATGTACATGTGCACATACCAGAAATTCAAATGTATCCAGTCCTATAAATATCCCAGCTGGTATCAGTGATCTGATGATCTCTCCAGTTCCCAGAAAGCAGAAATTTTTGTCAATCATTCACTGCTGTATCCCCAATACCTAGAACAATCCTAAAATGTCATAGGTCCTTTATAAATATTTATTGACTAAACAAATGGATTTCTAAGCAGTGGCCCTCAAACTTTTAAAGATCAAAAGCACTTTGAGGCCAGGTGTGGTAGTTCATACCTATAATCCCAACACTTTGGGAGGCCAAGACAGGAGGATCACTTGAGGCCAGAAGTTCAAGACCAGCCTGGGCAACACAGTGAGACCCTGTCTCTACCAAAAACAAACAAACAAACAAAAAATTAGCCAGGTCTGATGGCAGGCACTTGTAGTCATAGCTACTTTGGAGGCTGAGGCAGGAGGTTCGCTTGAGCCCAGGAGTTCTAGGCTGCTGAGCCATGATCATGCCATTGCACTTCAACCTGGGCAACAGAGTGAGACCCTGTCTCAAAAAAAAAAAAAAAAAAGAAAAGAAAAGAAAAAGAAAAAATGAGGAACAAAGATATTATCATAATGAGAAAAGCACTAGACTTGAGTCAGAATCTGATTTCCAGGACTTTTTTTTTTTTTGCTAACTTGAGGTGTAATATTGGACATTCTACTTTTCTGGCCTTCAGTTTCCTTATATGTAAAATTAAAACTATACCGGGTCTCTCTTTTGCACAGAAAAAAAATTATAATTTAAACTCTGCATAACACCTAATTATGTGTTTTCATTTACCTCTTCCACACCCAGATTTCCAGGAATAATAAGAGAATGAATCATCAGTTAGGTGTTATCTTGAGTTTATTAAATCTTAGAAAAATTGAATTTCTTTCAGTTATACTCAGAGCATATTAGAAATAAAGCATCACTTATTAAATATTTCTTGATAAATTATTATATTCATCATGATTCATATTATGGAATTGGAATAAGAGGAAATGCTTAATCTGTACAGAAACCCCTTAGAGCCTCATGAGAGTGAATTAATGAAAAATTGGAGTGGTTAGGCAATCTTGGAAGAGTTAGAGAATAATACTTTTAAAATGTTCGAAAATTATCTGAAAAGAATTTCAAAAATATTACTAAAATTGATTATCACCTTATGATAGTGCTTATCTGTATTAGCTAATATTTCTCTAATTATTATATATTATATAATATTTTTGTAATTTATATATTGTATATTTTTATAATTTATATATTAGGTAATATATTTTTATAATTTATATATTATATATTTTTATAGTTTATATATTATATAATAGAGAAATATTAGCTAATACAGATAAGCACTATCATAATATTTATTAGCTAATGAATACTGATTACTACACAAAAATAAATAGCCTTTACAAGCAAAAAATAAAATCTGACAATGAATAATCAATTTTTAAGGTGGTTTGAAGGTCACTAAGAAGTATTAAAGCAAGTCACCCTAAAGGAGAGAAAAATAATGATAAATTTTATTCCCTTTTCCACAGTGTTCTTCAAATGCACTATCCTTTCATTGCTTCTAAATCTTTGTACAAGCTTTTTGCAATTGTTTTCCTTCCTCTTTGCTTAGATAACTCTTCATCTTTCAGAGCCCAGCCTTTCCCAGCCTCCCATTTCCCATCTGTAGTTTTGAGTTCTTCTATTACCCTGTATTCTTATGCTGGCGGTCTGTAACATATTTGCTGTAACAATTTTTTTGTCTGTCTTACCCATTAGGATCTAAGTTTTGTGAGGCTAGGATGGGATCCATCTCATTCGACATTACATTTTCTGACTCCAGGAGAGGCCAAACATAGGAGATGCCTAATAATATTTAGTAACTGAATGACTAGAGTGGTGATTGAGTGTTAGGTAAAAAACAATCTTTAGAAGAGAAGTCCCTTGATTGAACAATGCTGTGGAAAAGAGCTGGCTCAGGTGACAGCATTCTAAAGCTCCTTTACTGGGCCCATCAGATGGAACTGAGCTTTGTAGAGTGGACAATTTGCAAGATTAGGAGACCTAGTAATTACAACAATTATTGGAAACAGCCTCATCATGGTACAAACACAAGTAATAAAAGAACTCTTTTGCAAACATCAGTGCATCATATGGAGTCCTCAGTAAAATAGGAAGTTTAACAAAGAGCTCTTCACAAAGGAAGCTTATTTTTCTATTTTGAGGCCCAGAGTAGGTATTTGTAATATCTCAGAAGAAGGGAAGAATTTAAAACTATTATTTTCATTGTTACAAATCATAGAATTAAATAGTATCTTCAGAGCTATGAAGAAATTATGACTCAATATTCCCTTTAGGCAGCCATCATTACAGTAAAACAATCTATATACTTTGATCTACTAATACTAAGAAATAGTGAATTTAGAAGTTAATTAATTATATGCATATAGACCATCAATCTTAGCAATTCATATGACCTCTACTTCAAGTAGCATTATTTACAATGAACTCAAGCTCTGTAATATTTTCATAATGGATTATCATATTAGATCAGGTTTTTATTTTACTACTTCATTGAATCTGCTCTGCCAAGGTCACAAGAGGTTTCCATCTTTCTATCTCAAGCCTCATTTTACTAAACTAAAGCAGTATTTCCTTTCTCCTTCAAACAGTTTCTCCACATGGTTCTCAGGGGACATTCTTTCCTGGATTTCCTCCTACCACACTGGTCATTCCCTCCTTCAGTCTCCTTTGCTGGCTTCTTTCCATTTTCTAGACCTCTAAAGCTGATGTGTGCTAGGATTCACCATCTTCTCTATCTACGTGAATTTTCCAGGTGACCTCATTTCATTGCTTTATAGTTTTCCTAATCTTTACTTTAAAATTCATATTTGTAGATATAGTATCTCCTCTAAGTCCCCAGATCCAAATATTCATTTGCCCACTTGATATGACTTAGATGTTTAACAAGCATTTTAAATTTAGCATGTCCAAAATAAAATTGTTGATTTTTCCATTCCAAAACTAACCCTAACTTTCCTCATGTTAGTAATGACACCACCAATCACTAAGATATTCAAAACAGAGAGCATTCTTTTTTTATTATTTCATTTTCCATTAAATCCATCATGAAATCATGCCAATTAAAAAAAAAAGTTCCAGACCCAACCAATTTTTTAAACTTCTTCAGCACCCCTACCCTTGTACAAACTACCATTATCTTTGGCCTGCATTATTGCCATGAGCTTCTAATGAATTTCCCTTCTTCTACCCATACAACAGCCAGACTTATCTTTTTATAATGTAAATCAAATCTCCATTAAAAACCCTTAATTGGTTTCTCATCATCCCCCTTCTCCTTTATAACATTTGCCACTATTTCATATAATATTGTGTATCTATTTTTGGGCTCCCTAAAGGCAGGGGTTCCCTAATAATGCATACCATATATTATTGATGCTATATGCCCAGAGTCTAGTGTCTGGCACTTCATAGGTGCTCAATAAATATCTGCTGAATAAATGAATAAATTAACAAGTATTTTAAATTTTCTGGTATCTGGTATTACAACCCGGCAAAAGAGAAATAAGCAATGATTATTTGATGACAGATAACTGTTTTTCTAGCTACATCATAGGATCAGACTTACAGCCCCATGTACCATATTTTTTCTCATGTGACTGTAACAAATTCTAACTCTTTATTCTAGAGTATTTTTGCTTCAGCTTCATGAGTCCTATGATGTGCTATTTTCCATGAAGTGGCAATTTATGAACTATCCTTTTAACGCCAATAAAACATAAAGTTATATTATGAAGATATATGTATATACATATATGAAGCTATATAGGGTAGAGTGTAAATTTTTACAATCAATTTACAGATATGGGCCTATATGACATATATGGGCCCATATCTGTAGGCATGATTTTTTATAGTGAGTTAGTATGATGGAGAAGTTGAAAAAAATCTATGCTAATATCTCTTCAGAAATTTCTCTACTGCCGAGACATAATATATATTTTTATATGAGCAAGAACGATAAAAAGCAAACAGGGCTGTTAAGTATCAAAGCAGAGTCTAAATTTTTATAATTTACTTATTATTTCCACAAATTCCTACTGAACCCCTACAATGTACCAATTATCATGCTAAGCACCAGGAAAACAGAAGAGAACAGGACAGATACGGTCTCTGCTCTCACTAGAATTTACATTAGAGTGGAGAAGTTAGACAGTGAACAAGTAAACAAATATATATAAAGTTATTTAAAATTGTGATTAGTGCTCTACCAAAATAAGCATAATGTTATAATCAATAAAAGAAGTGCACTGTGGCAGGTAGAATAATGTCCCCCTCAAAGATGCCTACATCCTAGTCCTGACGCCTGTGAATATATTACATAGCAAGGGGAAATTAACATTGTGACAATTTGTCACGGCAGCAAATAGAAAAATAACCCAGAGATTTTAGATGGGAGTCAAGGAAAGCTTCTTTAAAGAGACGTCATTAATCTGAGTTGACATATTAGAAGGAACATGTCATGCAAAGAGCTGGTGATAACCCACTCCAGGTAAAGAAAACAGCAAGCTCAAGGACCCCAAGACTGAAAAGAGATTGATTAATGTTCTAGGAACTGTTGGAAGGTCAGGGCAATTGAAGTGTGGTAATTGAGGGAGGAAGTGGTTAATAAGATTGGAAATTTAGATAGGATTTGTTTATGCAGGGCCTTGTAGGCCATATTAAGGAATCTAGATTTTACTCTCAATGCAATGGGAAGACATTGAATTGTTTTAAGCATGGGTGCAACATAATCTGTCTTATGTCTTTTAAACAAACTATCACATGTACTCCATAAATACATACAATTTGCATCAGTAAAATTTTTTAGTATATTTTTATTGCAATATACCATACTTAATATGCACAAATCATAGTGTGCAGTTTAATAGATTTTTGCAGTGAATACACTCATGTCAAGAAATAGAATATTACCAAATCCTGAAGTCTCCCTCATTCCCCATTCCAGTCTTTATCTCCATCGAGGCAACCACTATCCTCACTTTAATCATCTTAGGGTAGTTTATACAATTATTGAGCTTTAAATTAATAGAATCATAGAAAAATTTGTTTCTGATTTTTTTCCTGCTAAACATTGCATTATGTCTGTGAGGCTGATACATATTGTTGCATGTAGTAGTTTTTAAAAAATTGTCATTGCTGTGTATGTTACTGTATATGGCAACAACAACATCTTTATCCATTTGGATTGCTTCCAGGTTTGAGCTATGATGAACATTCTTGTCTATGTCTTTTTGTACATACACGTAGGCATTTCTGTTGGATGTATACCTAAGAGTGCATATCTACGGGTATGTTTTATTGAACTTTAGTAAATTGCTGCCAGCTTTTCAGAGTGATTGTAACAATTTACACTCCACCAGTACTGTGTGATAGTTGGAGTTGCTTCATCCTTTCCAAGGCTTGAAAATGTCAGCTTTTATTATTTATTTATTTAGCCATGCTCTTGGATGGATACAGGCTTTTAGTTGTGGCTTAAATTTCCATTTCTTTAACAGTTAAGGATGTTGTAAACCTTTTCATATGCTTATTGGCTATTTGGATATTCTCTTTCATTAAGTGCCTGCTCACTGACTTAGTACTTAGGTTTTAAAAAGATAATTCTTGTTTCTATGGGGAGATTATATTAGCCAATACTACTAGGCACTTGTTTGGATCTTGAAACAACATGAATAAATTTTGGGTGTATGCACTGGAAATTTACAAGTGCTCTTTTACAGGGGAAATGCTACAGAAACACAGGTGTGCTGCAAAACACCATGACAGTGCAATTTATCTGTAAAATTGGCCATGAAACTGTGAGTCAAATCATGCATTCTGAAAAGTGTTGATCTATCTTAAGATATCTTACTGTTGTCCTCTCCAATACCAACTCCAAGGGAATATAATACTATCTTATGAATTGAATTTATTAATAAAATGGTGTCCTTTAAACACAAGCACTACAGAAATTTAATGACTGAAGGAGAGAAAATGCAATACTGCATAAAATTTAGTTTAGTGCCTCCAGAAAAAATTAATTTTACTAGTTTGAAACCGAGTTAGACGAATTCTGAGACATAAATATGTGAAGGAGAAAGGACATGCTGAATTAATGGGAGTTCTGGCTGCCTGCCAGGGGGATTCTACAAAGTCTTACAATACAAAGTAAATCATCCCTCTGGAGCAAGTGGTATGCCCCTCCAGAATGAGGAGGGCTCCGCCCAACAATAAATTAACTTTGTACAGCATGCTTTATTGCTCTGCAATGCATTCTGGCAGGCTTGCTTTCATTGTCTCTTCCCTTGGGCTGGCTTGCTTTGCTTGTCTTTTAAAGATGACTCAGCCAAACTTTTAGTCTTTGCCCTCATCTTCTCCCTTTCCCTACTCCTCATCCTCCAATTTTTCTTCCCAGAAAGGCAAAGCCAGAGCAGAGCCCCTCCCTTTTGGTTATTGTTCCAGCTCACTGAGTATTGGCCCTGAGACGTAAACGGTTTCTTTCCTCTTTTCCAACTTCATGGTTTACATTCATTTTATTAGGCTACCTCTGGCCCTCTCAGTTCTCTGAAGCTAGTGATCCTAAATATCTATGGCGTCTGGGCATGGGGGTGCTTTTCATCCCCGCTTCCTACTGCAACAACCCCTGCAATCCCCTCTGCAGCCCCAAGCAAGGAGATCCGTGTCGTCAGGAGTGCGGTGCAGCCACACATCCAAGGCTGACAGGGCGGGCACTCTGCCAAGTCCTGCGCGCTGCTCGCCTTCCACAACACCTTCCTCAGCTTCGTCTGTATTTGAAGAGCTTAGTAAATTAATTTCCCAGGGGCAGAGAAGGGAGGAAGAGGGAGTGTCTGAGGGCTGAAAAATGCAGTCGACTCGCCCTCTGCTGGTTAAAGATCCGAATTTGTCGCCGCCAAAACAACGGGGAATGAGAAAGCAATCCATATGGTACGGAAAAATTACAACAAAAACTCGGCTTAATTTAACCCACCTGTGAACCTTAACTGCCTACTGTTCCTCTTTAGCGCTGCTTACTTCCCCAGCACTGAGATTTAATTAGATTGATTCTAAACGCTAGCCCCTGAACTCATTTTCATTTGCCCCTGGTTTCTGCCGTTCTAAAACGCAAATAATCCCCACCCACAAGTTCTCTTCTTGTCTAATTAGTCGCTAAGCAACTGAAGATAACAACTAAACCATTACTTCTAGAACACACTCGTGTTTCACTCCAGTGTCTTTGCCTTAAATAGTAATTTCAAGCGAACAACAACAACAAAAAAATCAGCTGCTGTTTGTGTTTCCGAGATTAATTAATTGGAAATCGAGAAAAAGCAAATGTAGTCCGTCCCAGTGCTGGTGTCTTAGGAAAGCTGACAGGCAGCTTTGTGCAAGCCGAGGTATTGGCCGCCATAACGCACACTGACTTTTGTACCGCCTTTGCTGTCTTACGCATTTTGTCGGAATAAACCAACACACGGAGGTTGGGTAATCTAGCCCCTTTACCCTGTACAGCAAGACAGCATTTACGAGTCACTGAGATTCTGGAGAGTAGAGAGAGAAAAACAACCACAGGATTTTGCAATATGGTGTATTATTTAATATCAGTCTGTTCCTCCTCCAGGCTAAAAATCCCAAAACAAGGGGTTCCTACCCCCCTCCACCTCTGGCATTGTAAATTAGCCAGTCACGCGACCCTTGGAACCAGTTGGGATTGGCCATTTCCTTTGTGTGGTGAAAATCTCTGCAGCGAGTCATGGGACCGAACTGGGCGGTGTCGCTGTCCGTGGCCATGGTGCTGAACTCTGGGCGTGGCCAGAGAGATTTCCTTTACATGACAGCTTCCGGTAGGGCGGGGTCGGGGTCGCGTTCCGAAAAGTGGATCCACCTGCCACCTGGTGGCAGATGAGGAAAATGCTATTGATAAAGTGTAAAGGGTTCTTTGGATTAAGACTTAAAACTTAAAAGACACAAATTGAAGATTTGGGGCGTCAGGAAGTGGTTTTTTTGAGAGATCTGCCTATTTTTAAAGAGAAATGGAAAAATTTAGAATTTTCAGAGTGATCTCTCGCTTCTACTCAAAATAATTTACGAATATGTTTAAATTTCTCCAAGCATTTTTTCCAACACATCTTGTAATCAAATAGGTATTTTTAAAGTATCTGTATATATAGGTATTTAGAAATATTTACTAAAACTTCCACAGGGTATATTTTACTGAAAGAAATACTAAGGAAGCACTATGTTGTTAGCCAAAAATATTCCAGGAAGCTTAGCCGAGAGTGCTACTCTGATCTCAGTTTCTGGAAGATGAAAAGTGTGACTATATTTAGGAATTGGTAAGAGGTGGTGGGAATTCTAGGATGAAAACTCTTGTTTTTTATTTTTTCCAAGCCTAATACATAAACTATCAGAGTGCTAAAAATACAGAAAATTTATGGTATGTTTATTACTTTTAGTCTGTGTATATTATTTACACTATTTTACACAGTGATGATTAAGTTACTGTGAATTACATACATCCAGCTTCAGAGGAGGAAACCTTAAGTTGCTTTGTAAGTACAGATCTTGATAAATAGCAAGAAAAAATAGGGGAAATACCTTGTTCAAGTGTTGTTTCAGAGTCTTACTGTATGTTCAGGTGTATGGGTTACAGTGTAAAATCAATTCTAGCAAGTTGAGAGTGAAATAAAATTCTTTCCCAAGCAAACAATCTTACCACTCTCAGAAAAAAGACCCATCCCAGGGCACATTTGGTTTTATAAGTCAACCAGCCCAGTTAGTATTTCCTTTTCTTATAGCTATTTTCTCATTTACTCTTCTATGGGTCTTAACATAGAATAAAAATATAATAGCATAGTTACTTAACATAAAAGTTACCATTTCTGTTTTAAGGTTTAAAACAAAATTTTGTTGAATAGATATTAATTTCAATAAAAATGTAGGTACTGATTTTGGTGTTAACTGAATTTTCTATAAAAAGGAGAAATTGATAAGTGCTTATCAAGGGAAAGAATTATCACTCTAATATAGTCTCTATTTGATTAAATTGAGACGTTTCCAAACACTTGTCAGATTTCCTGGAAAGACATCCATAGCCTGTTCTACCAATATGAAAAAAAGCATGAATAGTAAGAAGATGAAAGACATCTGTTTTAAACAAGAGTGTACTACAAATCCAGTCTATAAGTGGTATTGGTTTATATTATGGCTTCTTGTGTTACTGTGGGAGAAGGAAACTTTATACGCACATGCACAGGTTGAGCAATAAGAGGCATTCTCATTTAAAGCAACAGATGGGAGATCAAGAGCAGCTGCAATAAACTGAGCTGCCTAAAAAGGACTTCTATCCACCAAAGCATCCTGTTTCTGCTAATATGAATAAGAAACCTTAAAAGCATGAAAAGACACAATGGAAGAATAAAATTTTAAAATAGTACTAAAGTTTACAACTGCAGGTGTGACCTCAATGTTTCAAAATACACCTACTCCTAAAAATAGACTTTTTTTTTCAGGCTTAAAAGGTATATATGAATGAAAATTAGAGGTGACCCCAAATATTAACCTGCCTGTTAAAATTACTATTACAATAAATATTATCAATATTAAAATTTTAAAACTACCTGAACTTTGGGTACAATAGTAGAAGCAACAAATCAGAAGAGATGCTCCAATATTTTAGTTAAGGTATTTTTTTTCTAAAAGAAGTTGAAAATAGTGAAAAAATTATCATCAGAACAATTTCAGAAACATTTAAACCTATGACTTAAAGATGAATAAAAATAAACAATACATTTTACATTAATGTTAGAATCAATTTTGATCTAAACTAATTTTATAAGCAGAAAATGTAGAGTCTTAAAGGAAAGAACATTGGGTAAAAAGAATTTGTTATTCAATATGCGACTAAGTACATTTCTCTTGCCTCCCTGAGTGGATTTTCAAAAAAGTTAATTAGCACTTAGGTAATAGTGTAATAATTCCAAAATTCTTTAATGTATATCTTGAGATTTATTTTGATGGGTAAATATATTGATGCTGTTGTGAACTAAGGCTTCTCACTTTGGGACAAGGAAAATACAAAATATGAAGTAGGGGAGGAAAATAAAGATATCTGTATTAATGTATTGAAAGTGTAAGTCTCATGATCCCATATAGATATACGTATGCACATACACTTATACTATATATATATATACAAATATGTATTTATTCAAGGCAAGGATCATTCATGGATGTTGGAAATCAATGGTTAATAAAATTGTTTTGGGAATAGCATATCCTCGTAGTTTCAAATCTCTCCACAGATCACTAATTAATTATAAAAAGAATTAAAAGGTACCTATCCAACTGAAAAATTTGATGGACACCATTTTATAACCAAATTGCCAAACTTAATATCACCAGTGATGGAATAAAATGACATCATATGCCCTCTGATGTGATACATTGAGAAGAACACAATATCACTTATGTGGTATTTTTGCAAAAATATTTAACCTCAATCTAACCAAGGGTAAACACAACAAAAAATTCCAAATTGAGGGATATACTGTAAAACAACTCTTTAAAAACATCAGTGTCGATCATTAGAGAAATGCAAATTAAAACCACAATGAGATACCCTCTCAAACCAGTCAGAATGGCTATTATTAAAAAGTAAAAAAATAACAGATGCTGATGAAGTGTCAGAGAAAAGGGAGCACTTATACACTGTTGGTAGGAGTGTAAATTAGTTCAACCATTGTGGAAAGCAATGTGGTGATTCCTCAAAGAGCTAAAATCAGAACTACCATTTGACCCAGCAATCCCATTAGTGGCTATATACCCAAAGAAATATACATCATTTTACCATACAGACACATGCACACAAATGTTCATTGCAGCACTATTCACAATAGCAAAGGCATGGAATCAACCTAAATGCCCATCAATAACAGATTGAATAAAGAAAATGTGGTACATATACACCATGGACTACTATGCAGCTATAAAGAAGAACCAGATCATGTCTTTTATGGCAACATGGATGGAGCTGGATGCTATTATCTCTAGCAAACTAATGTAGGAACAGAAAACCAAATACTGCATGTTCTCATGTATAAGTGGGAGCTAAATGATGAGAACTCATGGACCTAAAGAGGGAGAATAGAGACTGGAGCCTACTTGAGGGTAGAGGGTGGGAAGAGAGAGAGGATGAGAGAAAATAACTATTGGGTACCAGGCTTAGTACCTGAATGATGAAATAATCTGTACAACAAACCCCTATGACATGAGTTTACCCGTATAATAAAACGGCACATGTACCCCTGAACCTACAATAAAAGTTTTTTTAATAAATAACTAACTAAATAAAAACAGCGGTGTCATGAAAAAGAAGTTAGTGTCATTAAAAAACAGCATCATAAAAATGTTTTCCCTGTTTCAGTTTAAAGTAAACTAGAGAAACATAACAACTAAAATCAATGTGCAATCCTTGATTGTATCCTACATTAAAAAAAAAAAACCAGCACAAAGAACATACTTGGAACAACTGGGGAAATTAGAATATGAAGTATGTATTAGATAATAGCACTGTATTCATGTTAAACTTCCTGAGTGTGATAATTTGTATTGAGGTTATGAAGGATACTGTCCCTGTTTGTAAGAGGTACCTGTTGAGATATTTAGGAATGATATCATAATGTCTACAGCTAACTATGCCAAAATAAAATGTTTACATATTACATAGGTTAGCTATTGTCATAGAATGTAGTGCAACAAAATACTTCAAAAATTAGTAGCTCAAAGCAACATTGATTCCCATTGATGCATCTTGGGGTCAGAAGATTTAGGCTGAGATCAGCCATGCTCCGCTTCAATATGTAGGTTGTGTCCAGTGCTGTTCCACGTGTCTTTCATCACTCTTTTATCAATAGACTATCCAGAGAATGTTCTTATGAAAGTAGCAGAAGAGCAAAAGGACAAGCCCAATTATGCAAGCACAACTTGCTTCACTCTGTGTATTAGTTTCCTTAGGGCTTCCACAAGAAATGACTACAAATTGAGCAGCTTAAAACAGTGGAATTTTATTCTCCTGCAGTTGTGGAGGCTAGACGTCCAAAATCAAGAAGTCAGCAGGGTTCCACTCCCCCTGAAGGCATAGAGGAAGATCCTTCCTTGACTCTACCAAGTTTCTGGTGGTTGTGGACAATCCTTGTAGCAGCATCAGTCCAACCTCTGTCTCTGTCATCATGTTGCCTTCTTCCCTATGTGTGTCCATGAGTCTCCAAAATCTCTCTCCTTATAAGGACATCAGTCACTGGATTTGGGGCCCACCCTAATCAAGTTTGACTTCATTTTAATTTGATTACATTTGCTAAGACTCTGTTTCCAAATAAGGTCACATTCACAAGAACCAGTGGTTAGGATTTCAACATATCTTTCTGGGGGACAAATTCAACCCACAACACTCTTAACGTCCCATTGAGGGCCAAAATAACTCATATGGCCAACTCCAAAGTCAAGAGGTAGGGAAGTATAGTGAACCCAATGTAAAGTCAAAGCATATCATGCAGCTAAACTCAGCACCATTGGAGTGAAGAGGTATACATCTCCCATAAAAACTGTGGAAGAGATAACTATTTTTGAATAATGTATGTGCATATATAATGTATTACATAATATAGTAATAGATAAATATGAAAAAGAAAGTGTACAAATGTAGCAAAATTGATAAATCTAGGTGAAAGTAATATGGTCATTTATTATTATATTCAATGAAAACAAATCTGGATTTAGGTAAGGAGCAGCTTTATTCAAAAAAGACTATTACAGACCCTCTGACCATGGAAATCTTCAAATGTCTAAAAATCAAATTTTAAAAAAAGAGTTTAAAAAAGAAGACGTAAACAGGGCTAGCAGGAACTTTGTGTGGGAGCAGGGCAAAGGGGGTAGGATGAGCAGATGGCATGATCAGGGCACTTTAACTGGAGATATGATTTTCCCTCCTGTGGTTGGCCAGTTCTCAGAATAAACTGTTAAGTGGGAGATGTTCTGCTTTTTAGAGCTTGCTCAAGTTTTGGGGCCAGCTAAAGTTCAGGGACCTGTGGGGAGAAGAGAAGCCTTATTAAAGTTTAGTTAAGGTAAGCCAATGGGTAAGTCATAAGTGATTACAAACACTCTTGTAACTCTTCCAAAACTCTGAAATATTTTGAAATAAGATTTTTGAAGTTTAAAAGTTAGTACTAAGATACAGTTTTGAAATGAATTTTTGTTCTCCCAAAACTTCATGATATCCTACTAACTGTGGGTTGTCCCTCTTCCCAACATGTAGGTTTTGATCCTGACTTTACAAGCTACGACGCTGTAGATTTAGTCTGTGGGTTCCCAATTTTACCTTCACCAGAAAGTATACAGGCTTAAAAAAAAAAAAAAAACTGCCACCATGTTTAAAGGTCCTAACATTTTCCAAGGAAAAAGAAAATATTTTGGATTTTAATTCCATCTAGCAGATATTAATAAATCGCCTGGGGCTAACCAAACAGATTAAGATTCAGAGGAACTGAATTGAAAAGCAGCATTTCTGTGCCTGGCTTATTTCACTTAACATAACGTCCTTCATGTTCATCCATGTTGTGACAAATTGCAGGATTTCCTTCTTTGTGAAGGCTGAAGAATATTCCATTATGTACATATACTACATTTTCTTTATTCATTTACCCACCGATGGGCACTTAGGCTGATTCCATATCTCAGCTATTGTGAGTAATATTGCAATGAACATGGGAGTGCTGATATCTCTTCAACATACTGATTTCATTTCCTTTGAAAATATCCCCAGTAGTGGGATTGCTGGATTCTATGGTAGATCTATTTTTAATTTTTTGAGGACCTTCTATACTGTTTTTCATAATGGTGTGACCTCATTTATACGTGGAATCTTAAAAAGTTGACCTCATAGAACTAGAGAGTAGAATGGTGGTTGCCAGGGGCTGGGATGAGGAAGGAGAGGTTGGAGAGCCAAAAGGATACAAAATTTCAGTTAGGAGAAATAAGTTCAAAAGATCTATTATTCAACATGGTGGCTATAGTTAATAACAATGTACCATATTCTTGAAAAATGCCCAAGACATGGATGGTAAATATTCTCACCACAAAAATAATAACTACGTGAGGTAATATATATGTTAATTAGCTGAATTTAGTCATTCTACAATATAAATATGCTACAAAATACTATGTTGTCTATGATTAATTTTATCTGTCAGTTAAAAATAAACTAACAAAAAAAAAGAAAATAAAAAAAGAAAAGCAGCATTGCTTAAACTTCACCTCATAAGAATTTTTTTTGTTTTGAGACAGATACTGACTCTGTCACCCAGGCTGGAGTGCAGTGGTACAGTCATAGCTCACTGTAACCTCAAGTTCCTGACCTCAAGCAATGCTCTCCCCTCAAGTAACTGGGACTACAGGCTTTGTCACCATGCCTTATTTATGTATGTATGTATGTAGAGACAAGGGTCTTGCTATGTTACCCAGGCTGGTCTCAAACTCCTGGCCTCAAGTGATCTTCCTGCCTCAGCCTCCTAAAGTACTAGGATCACAAGCATGAGCCACCACACCCAGCCAAGAATGTATTTGTTAACTTACAATTTTTTTGATGAATTATTTTGAAATTGATTGTATTAAGACTTCCTAGGATGTCAGAAGCTTCTGCATAATTTGTGAATCACTAAATAAATATTTCCTTTTAAAAAAAACCTCCCCAATAGCCTTTTTGATGATGCTAAATAACATTAGTGGGTAGTATACTCCATTTTTTTTTTCTATCGAAATTGCTCAAGGCTATTCTCTGTTTATGTATATTGACTAAGCATAAACATCTTTTTTAATATATTCAGGACTCATAGAACATAAAGAAGTAATAGAAATTAATAGAAAAAAAGGTAAACAATGCAATGTTAAAAAAAGGCAAGAGAACTGAACAAAAACTTCCCAAAAAATGATATTCCAATGACTACAAATATATTAAATAGTGTCTACTTCATCAATAATTAATGAGAAATGCAAATTAATCAGTGAAATGTAAACACAGTCACTCACCAGAATGGTCAAAATTTTAAAAGACTAGTAATTCTAAGTGTTGGAAATAATTTGAGCAACTAGAAGTTGCACTGCTGATGAGAGTGTAAATCAGTACAACTTTTTTTTTTTTTGGATGGCGTCTCACTCTGTGGCTCAGGCTGGAGTGCAATGGCGCGATCTCTGCTCACTGCAACCTCCATCTCCTGGGTTGAAGTGATTCTCCTGCCTCAGCCTCCTGAGTAGCTGGGATAACAGGCACGCACAACCATCCCTGGCTAATTTTTGTATTTTCAGTAGAGACGGGGTTTCACCATGTTGGTCAGGCTCATCTTGAACTCCTGACCTCATAATTGGTCTGCCTCGGCCTCTCAAAGTGTTGGGATTACAGGCGTGAGCCACCACGCCCAGCCAGTACAACTTCTTAGAAAGCAGTTTGGTGACATCACGTAAAGCTGAAAAGAACATATCCTATGATATCAATGCTACTTCTATGTATATATTCCCCCCCAAAATATGTGTATACATGTGCACAAAGTGACACGTACAATGATATGCTATGAGCAGCAGAATAATAAAATAGGTAAATGCATTTTGCTGCATTCATACTGAAAAAGACAAAAGCAGTCCACGAGAGCTAGGAGCTGGCCTGACACTCACAGCTAGGACATAGTGATCTTCTGTTGAACAAAAAATGATTTCATAGGACACCAGTATCAGACAAGGCCATACCATGACTATGATGGAGCAAGAGGAAAATGAGAGCACACCATAAGTGTGTCTAAATACAGACAAAAAAGAGTATTGTCCAATCCACAAAAATGCCCAAACATCTTTCTGTCCTGGCTAGTATTAGTCACTTCAGCTTACTTACCAATCACAGAGTTAGCCTCACCCCTTTCCTCTCACCTTCTACATAAGAATTATCAATATACTCATCATAGAGTTAACTCCACTTATGATGACATCCAATCCAGAGCACTCTGCTTCAAACCTCCCCCAAATCATCTAACACAAGACCAAATATATGTTCTTTCTAACACCGTTTCACTGAGATGCTCCATGACTCTCTATGGTGTACAGCTTCCCTTGTTATAATAAGTCAGTAAATATAACTTTGTTCAACTACAGGTGTGTGTCTGATGGTCTCTAGCTAAAGGACATTGACAATATATTGGTATTTTATACGGTAATGGAAATAAATGAACTAGAGCTAAAGATAACACCAATCTTACATTGAGCTAAAAAATGAGGGAAAGAAACAAAATTCAAAGGATTACCTACTGTACACTTTACTTGATACATAGTTTTGTTTTATTTCTACTCATACTCAAGTAAGATATATAGTTTTCAAAAGAGGCAAAACTAAACTGTTTAAGGATGCACACTTAAGCCAGGTGTTAAAATAACTGACAGAGATTGAGAGATTCATTAATTCCCTCATGTCAGGATGTAATTAATGTTCTGTACACTTTCTACTTTCATTCTTTTTTTCCTATTGGAAAATATAGTTAGATTTCCGTTAAGTGGCCATAATTTTATAGCACCTGGGACATAAAGTATTGAGCACAAATGAGAAATCAAATGTTTTAGGTAATGAGCATGAGACAGCATCAGAAGACAAGTTCTAGTTCTTACACTGCCATGAGTAGCTGTATGAATTGGGCAAGTGACTTCATCACTTCGGGCCTTAGTTTCTTCATCTGTTTTTTTTTTTTTTTAAAGTGGAGAGTGGGTGAGAAGGAGACTGGATCTCATCTTTCTGAAATGTCTTATTAAACATTCTATTATCCTATGATCATAAAGGAAACTCAACAAATATCTCCTATATTTCTATTAGGTCATTTTCAATATGTGTAAGCAATCTTATTTTATTTGCTTTAAAATCCAAAACCAAATATTTATCTTCATTTGATTTATTCATTATATTATCTGGGAAGCAGAGTAGTGTACTGATTAAGAGCATAGACTTCGGAGTCAGACAAAATTAAATTGAGTTTTATTTCTAACATTTGCTAGGTAGGGGACCTTGACATAACCTCTCCCATCTCACTTTCTTTGTCTTTTTTTTTTTTTAATAATGTCTACTCCATATAGTTGTTGCAAGTATTAAATTAAATAATGCATGTAAATCACTTGTCATAGTCTCAGTACATGGAAATCATATCCAATAAATACTACTGCCATTATAATCATAAGTGACAAGCCAGCTGCTCCCTTTGTGCACGTGTATACAGATATTTGGAGGGGGGCGGAGCGAATACGTAGAAGTAGCATGATAGCGTAGTGCAAATCAAGAGGTCAGTTGGCTTAGTCCCCTGTCAGTGTACTTACTGGACCTCAAGTTTCTGAAGGAGAATGTCTGTTCCCATTCCTTTTCCTACTGACCACTTCCTCCACATTCTCTAGCTCCCTGCCTCATATATTTGGCTTGGGCTTCGGAAGACTCTGCAGGATCCTTGTGCTTCTTTCTTGGTCTCTGGATGGACCGCAGAGTGTGCAGATGTAGCTTAAACTTGTTGCTGTTCGCCCACAGCTTCAGTGGCTCCAGACAGCTAGCAGATAGAATGACTTCAGCTTGAACGACTAATCTCATTGGCTTCTCAATTCCCAAGGACTTTTTTTCCTGAAAGGGAATTAACAGGTGAGTCTGTTGTTGCTTTGGCAACAAACTTTCAACCTCTACCTAACTCTCCGGAATGAGAACATATCTATTAATACATTCGCTAGACTGGGGAGTTGAGTCGCTCAATGCAAATTTTCTTTCAAGTGCAAAACAGCTTAATGGGCTCGGCTAGCCTTTGGTGGTGCTGCAGTTAGAGGCTAGTGAAGCGGAGAGCAGCTGTTGCAGTAACCTGTTGCAGAAAAGTGAAAGTATATCCGCAACAGTTGGCTCTGATTGCAGAGAGCGCGCTTGTGAGAACTGATGGCGGGTACGCGCAGAAAATCTTTGCAAAACAGGCAAGTGGGATCTCTTCTCATTTTTCTGTGCATATCTGTGGGGGATGCGACAACTATCCGCTATTCAGTGGCAGAGGAAATGGAGAGCGGCTCGTTTGTGGCCAACGTAGCTAAGGACCTAGGACTGGAGGTAGGGAAGCTGGCTGCGCGCGGGGCGCGGCTGGTTTCCGAGGGCAACAAAATGCATTTCCGGCTCCACCGCAAGACGGGAGATTTGTTTGTGAAGGAGAAACTGGATCGGGAGTCACTTTGTGGCAAAGCCGACCCTTGTGTTCTGCACTTTGAAGTAGTCCTGGTGGAGCCGCTGCAGTCCTTCCGGGCCGAGGTCAGGGTATTTGATATCAATGACAATGCCCCAGTTTTCCTAAACAAGGAGCCGCTTTTAAAGATTCCGGAGAGCACCCCTTTGGGTTCACGTTTTCCTCTGCAGAGCGCCCAGGATCTGGACGTGGGCCTTAACGGTCTCCAGAACTACACCCTGAGTGCCAATGGGTATTTCCACCTGCACACCCGCTTCTGCAGCCACGGGCCTAAATATGCTGAGCTGGTGCTGAACAAACCCCTGGACCGAGAGGAGCAGCCTGAAGTCAACTTGACAATTACGGCGGTGGACGGCGGGTCCCCGCCTAAGTCTGGCACAGCTCACATCCACGTGGTGGTTCTGGATGTCAACGACCACGTGCCCCAGTTCTCGCGACTGGTGTACAGAGCCCAGGTATCAGAGAACAGCCCCAATGGCTCTTTGGTGGCCACGGTGACTGCCGTGGACCTAGACGAGGGCACCAACAAAGCGATAACTTACTCTTTAGCTCAAAACCCAGAAGCAATTCTCAAGACGTTTCAGATTGACCCTCAAAATGGAGAAGTTCGACTAAGAGGACCCCTCGATTTTGAAGCCATTGAAACATACGACATTGACATTCAAGCTACAGATGGTGGAGGCCTCTCTGCCCACAGCAAAGTCCTGGTAGAAGTGGTGGATGTGAATGACAATCCTCCCGAAGTGATGGTCTCCTCTGTGTCCAGCCCACTCCCTGAAGACTCACCACCACAGACAGTAGTAGCCCTTTTCACTATCAGAGACCGGGACATTCGAGTGGGAGGAAAAGTCACCTGCTTCCTCAGAGAAGACCTTCCCTTTGTAATCAAACCTACATTTGGGAATTCTTACTCACTGGTCACTGACAGAAGCTTGGATCGGGAGGAGGTCTCAGGCTATAATATCACCATTGTTGCCATGGATACTGGACCACCTAGCTTGTCTGCCGAGACTATGATAGAGGTGCTAATATCCGACGTTAATGACAATCCTCCAATATTTCGGGAAGATTCCTATATCTTGACTGTTCGAGAAAACAACAGTCCTGCGGTTTTTATTGGCAAAGTCCATGCTGAGGATCTTGATTTGGGTGAGAATGCCCAAATAACATATTCTCTGTTGCCTCCAAAAAACGGAGATCTTTCAGTCTTTGCTTACATATCCATAAATTCAGGCAATGGGAAGCTCTACGCGCTGAGAACCATGGATTATGAGGCCATTCAAGATTTTCAATTTGTGGTAAAGGCAACTGATGGGGGCTTCCTGTCACTGAGTAGCCAAGTTACTGTCAGAGTGGTTGTCCTAGATGACAATGACAATCGTCCAATGATCTTATACCCACTGCAGAACGGCACCTTGCCCTGCAATGACCTGGTGCCCAGGTCTGCAGAGGCAGGCTACCTAGTGACCAAAGTGGTGGCTGTGGATGGTGACTCAGGTCAGAATTCTTGGCTTTCATATCATCTACTTAAGGCCACTGACCTTGGGTTATTTTCTGTTCAAAGACAAAATGGAGAAATCCATACATTAAGGCAGATATCTGAGAGAGACCCCATGATGCAGAAATTGATCATTCTTGTTCAGGATCACGGCCAACCAGCTCTTTCCACTACTGTCTCACTCAACATCCTGCTGGTAGATGGCTTTTCAGAGCCCTACCTGCAGTTCCAGGATCCAACCAAGCATTCTAGAAAGGTAAATCCATCCACTAAATATTTGGTCATTTCTCTGGTCATCCTTTCCTTTCTCTTTCTCCTCTCTGTCATAGTGATCTTCATTATACATGTCTACCAAAAGATTAAATATAGAGAAAAGTTCACAATTCAAGAGCATTTCTATGATGACTGTAATTTCTCTAACAACCTGGTACAAGGACAAGGCAATGGATCCTTATCTCGGCCTTGTCCATATGAAATGTGTTCAGCCACTGGCACTGGTAATAGTGAGTTTCGCTTTCTTAAGCGTTTTATGCCCAACTTCCCTTTCCCTCATGCCACTGGGGAGATAAAAATGGAGGCTGGCTCCAGTTTGCCCCCAAATTCTGATAGGAATAAGTCTCAGAGATTAGAGGGCCATGACCAGGTATCTGATGACTATATGTAGCTCCTATTTACAGGCTCAGTGAGAGAAGAGAAGCAAAATTTTATACTTGGTATGCAAAGATGTTACATCCTCATTAAAACAAAAACTGGTAGTAGATTGCAGCTTTAGTAAAGATAAGAGTACTTAGTTTGGTGAAAATGGGAAACCTAGAGTGAGGCTAGGCTTACTCAATACAAAGCAGTTATCCTGATCCCCAGATCATATATCTATAACCCTTTCTCCAGTTGGAATTCTGTTTAAAGAAATGTCACCCTCTATAAATGCATATGTGGTAGGAACTTCTGCTTTTCCATCTCTGTGCTAGCAAGTAATGAATAAGCCATTATTCACATTTTCCTTAGAAGTTCATTGGTCCTGGCCCAGGAAATACTTAGTTCCATAGAGAGATCCTTTTATTTGCCTCTAAATTATTTTCCAGTAGAAAGTTATGCATGCATAGGGAAGAGAACTACCTTCCCTTTTTGATATATTGGGAAGTGATTAGGTTTGACAAGCAGAGATATAGTTTATTATTCAGGAATCTCTAAATTCTTGTCCCTGATGAGTGATTATCTTTGATCAATACCTTGCCTGCAATCATTCATAATCATAATCATGGAAATGCCTGGTAAATGGTGATCTTCACAAATAATCATGGTGGGAGGAAGGGTGGAGAAAGAAAAGGATTTCACTTATTTGCAAATGTGAATAAGGGCAGACATAAGGATAAAGAGATTCAGTTTAGGAATGTTCTCCAAAATTAAATTAGATGTAGTTGTTTTTTTTTTTTTTTTTTTTTTTTTTGAGACGGAGTTTTTCTCTTGTTGCCCAGACTGGAGTGCAATGGCACGATCTCGGCTCACTGCAACCTCTGCCTCCTGGGTTCAAGCGATTCTCCTGCCTCAGCCTCCTGAGTAGCTAGGATTACAGGCATGCGCCACCATGCCCAGCTAATTTTTTGGTATTTTTAGTAGAGACGGGGTTTCACCATGTTGGCCAGGCTGGTCATGAACTTCTGACCTCAGGTGATCCACCAGCCTCGGAAACCCAAAGCACTGGGATTACAGGCATAAGCCACCACGCCCAGCCAGATTTGATTTCTTGATTGTTTGGAGCCATAGGCAAGTCTCAAATCTCCCTCTTTTATATCCAGATGTCTATCCTTGCAGTCCCAGAGAAAATCTATTTGAAAAAACGGAAATGGAGGGTGGGTGAGGAAAAAAATAAAGTATGACGGCTGGGCACCGTGGCTCATGGCTGTAATCTCAGCACTCTGGGAGACGGAGGGAGGCAGATCACCTGAGGTCAGGAGTTCGAGATCACCCTGGCTAACATGGCAAAACCCTATCTCTACTAAAAATACAAAAATTAGTCAGTCGTGGTGGCACGCACCTGTAATCCCAGGTACTCAAGAGGCTGAGGCTGGAGAATCGCTTGAACCTGGGAGGTGGAGGTTGCAGTGAGCTGAGATTGTGCCACTGCACTCCAGCCTGGGCAACAGAGTGAGACGCTGTCTCAAAAACATAAAAATAAATACATAAATACATAAATACATAAGGCCTGCTGTAGTTAATAAGTGTTACAGAACACTCTAAACTATTTTGTGCCATTAAGTGTACACAACATTTATTGTAAACCATTTTGTAGTTTGTAGAGCAAATATAAAATAAAAAGACATTAAAATTAAAAAGTTCATTAATACTAATTAAGTGGCATTAAGGAAAGACACATTTTCAGGTAGTACTAGATTTGATTGTAAGCCATTTTCCTCTCTGAGTATTCTGAAGTTAACACATGCAAACTGAGAAAAAGTGGCATTTTTAGTAAATCATTCATAAAATGAAATGGAGTGGGGAGACAACTTAAGCTTCTCTTTGATCACCACTGTTTGATTTCATAAGCTATTCTGAGCCCTCTCATTCTAAAATAAGCCAATGTTAAAACATTAACATATTTCAGGGATTCTCCCAACACTGCTAACTGTGCCTTGAAAGTCAAAAGTTTGCTTTAGAGAAGGGCATGGTGGCTCATACCTGTAGTCCCAGCTACTCAGGAGTCTGAAGGAGGAGGATTGCTCAAGCCCAGGAGTTCAGGGGTGCAGTAAGCTATGATTGCACTTCTGCACTCCAGCCTGGGCAAAAGAGTGAAACCTCATCTCAAAAAAAAAAAAAGTGTGCTTTAATGAGGCTTTAATTATATTCCTTATTTTATAAAAATGTGTGTAAATTCAGACTCACTAGAATACATCCTCTTGGTATTTTAAGGGTAGAGCATTATCTTTTAAAATACTTCTTAAATATACCAAATCATGTTTATTGATACAAACTTCATTCTTGGACTTAATGACTGATACCTAATGGCACCACCTGGCTGTTTACCTGTTGGCCAGGAATACACTAAAATTTAGTGCTGTTATTTTTTAGATGTTAGAGATGCTTAGGGCAGAACTGGTGTAACCTATGGCTGCCTTCAATGTTAAAATGTTAAAGAACAGATGAAGCAAATGCACTATATCAATGAATTGCTTTTATTTTTAATATTAAATATTTTACATACATTGAGTT
Source organism: Homo sapiens (assembly GCF_000001405.40). Lineage (NCBI taxonomy): Eukaryota > Metazoa > Chordata > Mammalia > Primates > Hominidae > Homo > Homo sapiens. The sequence goes on from NW_025791778.1 coordinate 291,647, forward strand.
ATGATTCCGATTTAGAGTAAAGGTTTTCTTGCACAAAACATAGAATAAGTGTTCCAGTGTATTTGTGTTCCAATTGGTGAAGGCATGCTGAAATTTCTATTTCCTTTAAATGAAAAAGGAGATAGAATTTTTATTTATTTATTTATTTTTTGGAGACAAAGTCTTGCTCTGTCACCCAGGCTGGAGTACAGTGGCATGATCTCGGCTCACTGCAAACTCCGTCTCCTGGGTTCAAGTGATCTTCCTGCCTCAGCCTCCTGAGTAGCTGGGACTACAGGTATACATTACCACGCCCAGCTAAATTTTGTGTTTTTAGTAGAGACGGGGCTTCGCCATGTTGGCATTTCGCTATGTTGGCCAGGCTGGTCTCGAGCTCCTGATCTCAGGTGATCCACCCGCCTTGGCCTCCCAAAGTGCTAGGATTACAGCACCATGCCCAGCCTAGAATTAATTTTTATGGGTAAGCAATAATTAGTTAATAAAACATGCTTAAGTAAAAGCTACTGTATTAACTGTGTTTCATTACACTTAATGATGTGAACATAATCAATGGAAACTGGCTTAATGTCAAGGATAGGAAAAGAAAATGGTGTAGATTCATGATTTTAAGACTTTGATATTCAAATAGCAGTGAAATTCATGAATACATATATACACACATACACAATGGACAGAAGATGTAGATTTGTCAACTTTTTATTTTTTCACATTAAATGAGATAAAATCTACCACTTCACGCCACCATTATTCCATAAACGAAATGGCATTTTAATATAAAAATGGTTAAGATAGGCTGGGCATGGTGGCTCACACCTGTAATACCAGTACTTTGGGAGGCTGAGGCAGATGGATCACAAGGTCAAGAGATGGAGACCATCCTGGCCAACATGGTGAAACCATGTCTCTATTAAAAATACAAAAATTAGCTGGGTGTGGTGGTATGTGCCTGTAGTCCCAGCTACTTGGGAGGCTGAGGCAGGAGAATTGCTTGCACCCAGGAGGTGGAGGTTGCAGTGAGCTGAGATCATGCCACTGCACTCCAGCCTGGCGACAAAGCAAGACTCTGTCTCAAAAAAAAAAAAAAAAAAGAAAAAAAGAAAAAAGAAAAAAAAAGGTAAGATAACAATCTCATAAAAGAAACCATCCTTTAAATTTAAAAAATGTATCGATTTAATAAAAAATTATTTTGCCACCATTTTTCTTATTTTTGCCTTAGGTGAAAATTTTGTCACTCTAATTTTATTCAGACTTCAAGTTCCCAAGAAAATTCCAATCCTACCTGATAACTTAAAATAAGAATATATCAATTCACTGAATGTGAAGTAGGCCACTTGTTTTTGGAGAGAACTCTGTACACCAGCTGAGATTAAGTCCAGGTCTCTATCAGCAAATTAAGACAAAGAATGGAAATAATTAGGGCAATTACTCTCTCCAAAGTGTCAAGTGATATTATAACTATTTCTATGTATTCAAAGCTATAACCTAAGAACCTTGAAAAGTGTCTTGTACAAAAAGGCTTTTTATTAGGAAATAATTCTAGACTCATAAAATTGCAAAAATACTATAGATAGTTCCTGTATATCCTTCACCTAACTTCCCGGAATGCTAACATCTTATATAACCATAGTAGTTATCAAAATTAAGAAATTAACCTTGGTATAATTCTATGAAGTAAACTACAGATCTTATTCAAATTTAACAGTTTTCCCCCAATGTCCTTTTTCTATTCAAGGATCCAATCCAGGATCCTGCAAAGCATTTGTTATGGCTCCTTAGTCTCTACCACCTGTGACAGTTCCTTACTCTTACCTTGTCTATCATGACTTGAGATTTTTGAAGAGTACTAGCCAGTTATTTGTAGAATGCCCCTCAGTTTGGGATTCTTTGTTTTCTCATTATTAAACTGAGGTAATGCATTATTGGGAAAAATACTGCAGAAATGATATTGTATCCTTTTCAGTGCATCACGTCAGCAGGTATGTGATGCCAATGTCACACTACTGGTGATATTAATCTTTTTTCTTTTATTGTGGTAAAGAACTTATAAAATGTACCATGTTAGCCATTTTTAAGTATGTTAGCCATTTTTAAGTAATGTTAAGGTGATGTTAATTTTGATCGCTTGGTTAACATAATGTCTGCCACGTTTCTCTACTATAAAGTTACTTTTTTCTCTTTGTAATTAATAAACACTTGGGGGATATGCTTTGAAACTATGCAAATATGATGTTTCTGCTTAAACCAATTTTAGTATCCATTGCTAGATATTTCCTGTGGCAATTAATATTGTGGCATTCTAATGGTGATTTTCTATTTCTCTATTTCCTTTTACATTAATTAAAATTCTTCTGGAAGGAAAACTTGTTACTTTCCCCCCCACTTATTTAGTTAGTTATTTCTTTACATAAGGATACCTGGATATCTCCTCTATTATTTGGGTTACAAACTAATCCTATCATTTACTTTGTTGTTCAGCAAACTCTTTTATCTGAGATGAAGAGCAGATTTTTAAGACTGGAATTATCCATATAGAATACATTTTTATCAAAATTAGTATTTCTTTGTAACTCTACATGTTAGATTATTTTAAACAATCATAAAGTAACCCCATTAAGGTTCATGCATAAAGTTTTAACTTTAAATGAAAATTATACTAACATAATTTTAAATTAGTCATACATTTTAAAATAGATATAAACTGAAAATTTTAAAATTTGTTGTGCAGACATGTTTATATAGTTTAAGCTATATATACCTGAGATACTATTTAAAAATAGACTTATATGCTGAAATTAGACTTACAGATATACAAAAAATGGAATTGGTCTGTCTGATATTATGTAATTCTCCTAAAAATAAAGAATTTCTTTATCATGTTTGTGCATTTTTTGTTGTTTTCCATTTAGGGATGAATTTGTCTTATTCTTGGAAGCATAATTCATTCATATGATTATCCCATATAAATAGCTATTTTCTGTAGAGTTTAATATCTTCAAAGTATGTGACTAAGTGGACATTCATTCTTCAACCAAAAGTCTGACTTCATTTTCAAATATGTGTAACACTTTTAAAAAACATTATTAAAGTATTTGTTGTGTTTATATAACACTGAAACAGGCCGGGCATGGTGGCTCACACCTGTAATCCCAACACTTTGGGAGGCCAAGGTGGGGAGATCACCTGAGGTCAGGAGTTCGAGACCAGCCTGGCCAACACGGTGGAAACCCCTCTCTACTAAAAATACAAAAATTAGCCAGGCATGGTGGCTCACACCTGTAGTCCCAGCTACTTGGGAGGCTGAGGCACGAGAATTGCTTGAACCCAGGAGGCAGAGATTGCAGTGAGCTCACATCATGCCACCACGCTCTAGCCTGGGCAACAGAGTAAGACTCAGTCTCAAAAAAACAAACAAAAAAACCCCCAAAAACAAACAAACAAAAAAACCACTGAAACAGAATGTGAAAAAGTGAAAGTAACAAAAGTTTTCTGGTCAAGCTGGTGAAGTAAGTTTATGCTTCTGTGTACCACGCTCTGCTCTAAATACAGCAGTAACAGGTAAAAATTAAAAATTAAAAAAAATGCGGCTGGGCGTGGTGGCTTGCACCTGTAATCCCAGAAGGCCAAGGCAGGCGGATCACCTGAGGTCAGGAGTTCGAGACCAGCCTGACCAATATGATGAAACCCCGTCTCTACTAAAAATACAAAAATTAGCCAGGTGTGGTGGCATGAACCTGTAATCCCAGCTACTTGGGAGGCTGAGACAGGAGAATCGCTTGAACCCAGGAGGCGGAGGATGCAGTGAGCCGAGATCAGGCCATTGCACTCCAGCCTGGGCAACAAGAGCTAAACTCCGTACCCCCCACTACCCGCCCCTGGCCAAAAAAAAAAAAATGCAAGGCCAGGCACGGTGGCTCATGCCTGTAATCCCAGCACTTTGGGAAGCTGAGGTGGGTGGCCAAGGTCAGGAGTTCGAGACCAGCTTGGCCAACATGGTGAAACCCTGTCTCTACTACAAAATACAAAAATTAGCTGGGCGTGGTGGCATGCACCTGTAATCCCACCTACTCAGGAGGCTGAGGCATAAGAATCGCTTGAAGCCAGGAGGCAGAGGTTGCAGTGAGCCGAGATTACACCACTGCACTCCAGCCTGGGCGACAGAGTGAGACTCCATCTCAAAAAAAAAAAAAAAAAAAAAACCAAAAACAAGGAAAACCAGAAATGAAACAGACATAAAATGGTAAGTGGGGATAAAATCCTTGGATTTCCAAGCTATCAGGATGGGAAGTTGGCATAGGCTACCATTGGTTTGGCTCTTATGGGCTCTCAGGAACAAAATGTTCACCATGAAAAATGGAGAATAAAAGCCAGTGTCATTGGTTAGAGCCAAGAGGTAGGATGGGTCAAGGAAGGTTGAAAAGCCATTGCCAAAAAATTCCTGAAGCTATACATTATGGTATGTTGCAGGCCTATGAAGGCTGGAGGACACAGAAACAACATCCAGAATATGTACTGGGCTCTGTAGCCAACAGACTTAATGTAGTCATCTGTACTATTTCCAGTACCATGCTGGGTCAGAAGCCCAAATCATTACTATACAACCTGATTCTAGACCATGTCCAGGGTCTAGGAAATGGACATAAGTAGAGAAAGGAATGAAAAGGAAGACATTTTCAAAAAGTGTCATTCAACATAAAACTGTTTAAGATGCTTGCAGAGATGAATTTAGAAGTTATACCCACCAAAGATAGTAAGTTATGAAATAAAAAAAGACTGAAATAAAGTAAGAATGGATCCATATAAATATAGCCAACCAGAAATTTTAGAAATGAAACTTATTAATTGTAATAAAACCTCAATAGATAGTATAAACTTCAATCTGGAAGCTAATGAAGACTAAATTAGTAAATTGGTATGTAACTATGGAATTATATATGGACACGTGGATATTTACTCTATTATTTAGGTTATAATTCAATTCTATCATTTATTTTGTTGTTCAGTAAACCCTTTCAACAACCCTTATTTTGTTGTTCAGTAAACCCTGTTTGTTCAGAATAACCCTTTGTTGTTCAGTAAACCCTTTTATCTGAGATAAAGGAAGATTTTTAAGATCTGCCCAATAACTGAACAAAAAGATACAAATTACGAAAGAGTATTTAAAGATGTTATCTACTGTGATAAACCACACTGAAACTTAAAGGCATAGAACAGACATATTATGCTCAGGGACTCCATGGATCAGGGATTCAGACAAGACCCAATGAGGATGAATTGTCTCTGCTCTGTGATGCCTGAGGCCTCAGGTAGAAAGACTCAAAGGCTGAGAGTGACATAGTGGCAGTGAGCTAGTATCATTTGGAGGTGACCTCTCTTCCATGATTGATGCTGGCAGTGAACCATAATACCTGTCTATGTGGCCTGGGCTTCTTTAAAACATGGTAGCTGGGTTACAACAGCAAGTATCACTTTCACCACACTTTCCATTGGTCAAGCAGTCACAGAGACCAAATTCAAGATAAGGGGACATATGTCCTACCTCTTGAATAAAGGAGTGGTAAAGAATTTGGAGAAAAGTTTTTAAAGCTGCCACAGGAGACATGGAAGATAGATGGAAAAACTCTAATATAGGTCCCAGAGACATTCCAGAAGAAGAATTGAGGAAATGGCAGAGAAGAGACATATATTGATTCTGGTTCTTGCCAAGACGGCAGAGTAGCATGGGTTACAGATACTGCAAGAGCAGTCATGGAGGAACCATATATTGAAACATTATACAACTTATGTGGTTGGGTGGTTGGCTTATGCCTGTAATTCTAGCACTCTGGGAGGCTGAGGCAGGTGGATCACATGAGGCCAGGAGTTCGAGACCAGCCTGGCCAACGTGGCAAAACGTCATCTCTACTAAAAATACAAAAATTAGCCAGGTGTGGTGGTACATACCTGTAATCCCAGCTACTCAGGAGGCTGAGGTATGAGAATCACTTGAACCCGGGAGGTGGAGGTTGCAGTGAGCTGAGCTGAGACTGTGCCACTGAATTCCAGTGTAGGTGACAGAGCAAGACTCTGTTTCAAAAAAGAGAGAGAGAGAGAGAGACAGAGAACTTAGGAACTTAGGAAATAATGAAAAAACCCTAAGAAGCTTTTGAGGAGGATGGAGTCTGTTTAATACTGGTGTGTTAAGGCTTAGTGGTGGCTGCAGCCTGGGAAGGAGGGTAAGCCATCATGTTTGTGGTATGATATATTTAAAATAAATCTCCTATTCCCACCTTTGGACAGTGATTTCCTGCCTTCTCACTGGAAGTAAGTGGCAACAGTTCAGATTGCGGGTATAGTTTTCATCACAGGTAACAGTCAAGGCAATTTAAAAAATCTGCTTGGGTCAAAAATTTATATTAATTAACTGTATACTGACTAGCCTTGGACATTCACCCTCCCCTTCCCCTCACCTCAAATCCCATTGTTGGTGAATTATAATTTACAGTAACTCTTTCATGTAATGCTTTTTTTCTGGAAAAAGGTGAATGGAAGGTAAAATCCAAACCTGAAGAATTGTTTGATTAGGGGGCTATGAGACAGTAGTGATTAACTGGAATTCCCTGGCATTTAGGAAATTCCACCATAGACTGCACCCTCTCCATTCTTCTCTATCTCATCTTGGTTGACAAGGACTAGATCTAGTCCATGTCTCTTCTTCATACACATTATCAGAAAGAATAGTTGATAATATTGGCTCAAAATAAGTAGGTATATTTGAAAGTAAACCTACTTAGGTATAGTAGGTATATTTGAAAACATATGTACTTAAAAAGCAAAATAAACTTATACTGTTAATATCAGAACTGAGATATTATTACTGTAGAACCAAGAATTTAAAAGTAAGCATAACAAACTTATGAAAATAAGCTATACAAAAGAAGAACTATAAATAGTTTAAAGAATAAGGTGAAAATAGTATGCATAAAACTATAATTATTTAAGCAAAGTATATAATAGATGAGATAATAGAAAGGATAAAGCTGAAGAACTACTTAGTGAGTTAGAAGATCACATTGAAAAATTCTCTCAGAAGGAAGTAGGGAAAGAAAAATAATTAGAAGATATATAATTAAAGTTAAGAGATATAGAGGCTAAAAGAAGTAGCAATGCATAAAAATTGGTGTCCCAGAAGAACAGAAATATAAAAATGGAGAGAATGGTTTTTGAAGAAATTACAGAAACAAATGTCTAAGAATTAAAGAATAATGAAAGAAGGCCTCTGATTGGAAGGCTTGCAGAGTAGTAAACAAGACAAAGCCATGCCTAGACAAATTGTGGTGAAATTTATGCATAATAATGACAAAGAGAAAGAACACATTACATAAAATGAAACACGATGAAACTGACAACAGACTTCTCACTAGCAGCACTGGATGCAAGCAATACATGGTATTGGTTCTTGGAAAAGACTAACAAAATAGAAAAAAAAGCTGATGGCTGTGTGCCATTAACATCCAAGAGAACTACTGGGAAATTTCAGGGCTATGTGGCAAATACTCAGCCAATTTATTGTGTGGATATTTTCAGACATATGTTATTTTTCTTACACTTCTTCATGTGAAGGATGCTAGAGGAAAATTTCCTAGAACTGGTCATGTTGTCACTACTTGCCTTATGCTGGAGCACTTCCTGAAACACATTTCACCTCTTTTAGGATCATAATCCCAGCATTCTGGGATCAAAGGAAAAATGCCTTGCAGATATTACACAAATAAATTTAAGACATAGGTAAGAAAAAGAAAGTTAGCATGGGTCTTAATAAGTTAGTAGTAACCACCAGAAAAATATAAATAGAATGCATGACTTTCCAGTTAGCAGAACAAAATCTTATCTAGCCAGTAGGAATCAGGAAAGGGGTTAAAAACAATAAAGAAATATTGAAATGTGATGGCAGAGATATGTGCTAAAATAACAGTAACTAAAATAAACATACATAAGCTCACCCATCAGGAGTTAGAGAATTTTAGTTTGAATTAAAAATCAAGCCCTAGAAATGTGGAGCCTATAAGAAACAGATTCACGACAGTTGTTATAAAGAAAGGTTAAATGTAAATGGATGAGAAAAGAATTACATCCAAATATTAATCCAATAAAATATAGAATAATTTTAATAATATAAAAGACAAGTACAAAAAGAAATATAAATCAATAAGATATAATGATCATGAAAATATATACACTCAATAATGGAGCCTCAAGATACATAAAGGAACAACCAAAAATGCTGAAAGAAATAGATAATCAGCAACTAACATGGAATTTTTAATACACTACATTGAGAAACATCAAAGACAAGTAAAATTAAGGAACATTTGAAA